>NT_167245.2:4067029-4200957 GCF_000001405.40 Homo sapiens | reverse complement strand
GGCCAAATAGAGTCCATTTTTAAATGCTAGAAAGGGATGGCAGAGCTGAGTGTTAGAAAGCCAGAGCCTCCTGGATTTACCGGTGCTGTGCCATTATTTTCAGAGGCATTCATAGCTAATGACAAAGTAGACAGTGAACTACTGCAAAGCAGAACTGGCTGCCTTGCTCATCTCTTGCCCACAATTATTACTTTCCAAACTGATGAGAGACTATTCCTGAGATACTTATGATGGAGGTAGTTGGGAGGTCCTGGTGGGGAAGGATTACATGGAGGGAAGAGTAGTTATAAGTGTTTGAACTTGTTACCATTTAAACTGAGATTATAGAAGGGGAGAATGGAGTTAACCACCCCTCACCACAGTCTTGGTGAGGGATGGTTATGTTTGTCCTCACCTTGGTCTTGTCTACACTGTGCTCCCTATGGAGAACTTGGACCCCTCTGCCTTGTTCCTCTCACCCAGAGAAATTGCAGTGTCTGCTGTACCTATTCCTATGCCCTTCCACCCAGTCTAGTTTCTCCTGTTCTTCCCCAGATCTCCTTCCAAATAGACTGGTGTAACTGGCACAAAGTGTTTGTTAACTGATTGCCAATCCAATAATAAGGGGACTGAGGTTCTTCTTTGAAGGGTGGGTTTAATTTGGGGCTTTCGTACCAATTCTGACCACGTGTAGAGCATCATTCAGCACACTATGGGCTGTGAGCACAATCTTGCCTACCACCTGTTTTTAAATGGCCTAAAAGCTAAGAATGGTCTTCACATTTTTAAATGGTTAGGGAAAAAAAAAGCAAATGAAGAATATTTCGTGACACATGAAAATTACATGAAATTTGAATTTTAGTGTCCATAAATAAAAAGAGGGTTGAGGACAAAAACTCCAGGGAACACCAGTATTTAAAGAGTAGCTGAAAGGAAGGAGTCTATGAAGGAGACTGAGAAGGAGATGCTCAAGAAGTGGGAGGAAAAGCTAGGAGGAAACTAGGAACACAGCCACTCTCCTTCATTTACATATTGTGCATGGAGGCTTTCGTGCCACAGTTGAGTACTCATGACAGAGATCTGATAGCCCACAATGTCTAAAATATTTGCCATCTGGCCCTTTACAGAAAAAGTTTGCTAACCCCTGGTTTAGGACTCTAGATGGCTGTGTCCCATATGTCTCCCCACTGGTAGTCTCATAAACTTCTTTTCTACTGTCCAGGGGCCTGAATCTCCCCACTGCCAGAACCGCTGATGGGTTAGTGCATAAATGTTGGGATACTGGGAAATGTTCTTTTGTTTTCTGGAGGGTTACCATGATTTCCAAACCCTAGTCCTTCCCTGGCACCCTGCCTCCACCACACAGACACACACACATATATACACATTGCTGTTCCAGAATATCTAGGAGGTCATAGAGTTGTTTTTGTTTTTGGCTATTACTGCTGCTATTACTTGTTTATCAAAAGAGGATATGAAGCCAGGCACAGTGGCATGTGCCTATAGTCCCCAGCTACTGAGGCGGGAGGATCGCTTGAACTCGGGGGTTCAAGACTGGAGTGAGTTATGATTGCACCTGTAAGTAGCCACTGCACTCCAGTCTGGGCAACAGGGGAAACTTTGTCTTAAAAAAAAAAAAAAAAGGTGGAAGGTATGAATTTTGAAAGCCTCAGAAACACTGTTGGACAATATTCACATATATTAATTTCTCAGATTACTTGATTGCCACATTAGAGCTTTCTCACTGCCTCTTCCCCCACCCCTTCTGTCTTTCTCTTTCTTTTGTCTAACAAACTTGAAGCATGTACACTGACAGTTTCTTCCTCACCTCCCACTTACTTCTCAGCCCACCACAATCTGGAGTTGACTCCCACTACAACACTGAAACTGCTCTCAATAAATTTGTCAGCCATCTCATAATCACCAAATCTAAGGACACTTTTCAATCCTTTCTTGACTTTTGAGTAGCATTTAAAAATGCTGACCTTGCCCTCCTTCATGGCACACCTCTTTTTTATTTCTCTGATCTGCTTCTACCTTGGTCTTTTCTTAGTGCTCTGGATGGTCCTCGTGCCACCAGATTCTTACAAACCAGGGTATTTCAGTGTACTCGTTATTATCTTTGTCTCAGTGACACACACACCCTCCTCTACTGTGTTTTGAACTGCTTAGCTTAGGAGTCAGCCAGGTGTGTATTTCCCAGCCTTCCTGGACATCTGGCTTCCTTTTTGATTCTGCCAGTAGGAGGCACTGATGGGAGATCAGAAGGCAAGAGAAACTGAGAAGCATCCTGCTTCAGCCTCTAAACAGTGTCGGTGGCTGGCAATAGCTGGTAGCTATTGGCTGTAGCTGTAGCAGCAGGAAGAATGGGAGACTCAGGACTCCAGCCTCCTGAGCAGAAGTACCTTCTCAAGGATTCTAGCCTTGAAGGAGGTGGCACCTTTCTAGTAGATTGGAACTGACTATGACAGTGTCTCTCACAAGGCAATGAGTAGATTTACAGATTCCAGCTCAGGGATGATGGCAGCTTCTGATTTCCAGATAGCAATCTTTTTTTAAAATGTACATTTCTAGGACTCTCCTTTTTTTTTTTTTTTTTTGTACTTCTTGCCCTTTTAACACCTTTGTAACCAATTCTCTATATTAAATTCTTTCAGTCTGAAGCACATAAAGTAGTTAAATGCTCCTGACTGGATCCTGGATAACTGGTATGAGGTTTGGGGTTTGAGCCCATGCATGCTTTTGTCCTTGTTTCACTTCCCATTCCTTCTGCACAGTTTACTTGGGTGATCTTATTCATGGCCTCTGCTTCGACATTTGTGCTGATGACTCTCAAATCAGGGTCTTCAGACCATACCTGGGGTCCATACCCACACGCCTCACTGCGCTCCCATGCAGTTTCAGCTGGCTGTTCCACTGGCATTTCAAATTCAACATGTACAAAATCAAGCTCTTTCTCTCTGTAAACCTGCTCCCATGGCATTCTTTTCTGCTTCAATTCAGTCCATCCCTGACCACCCACCCAGCCACCCATGCTGGAAATCTGAGATATCTTTGACTCCTCCACCTTCCCACTCCCACAGCTAATCAGTAGCCAAACCCTTTAGATTCTACTTCCTAATTATCTTGATATTCTATCTCCTCCGCCTCCTCTTATTATGACTTAATTCAGGCTCTTATTATCTGTCATTTAAATTATTGCTGTATTGCTACAGGAGTGGTGTGTATATGTGCAACTGTTCATCTTGGTATGCTATAGACTCTTGCCCAGCAGTTTTGCCTCAATTCTTTAAAAGCTCCAGTTCATTGTTTGAAATATCAATCAGAACATTTTTTCCAAAATGCTAAAATGATTGTCATTCCCCAGTTTTAATATCTCTATCATCTGCTAAGTAAAAGCAAGCTCCTCCTTGTGGCGTAGCAGGGCCCACGTGATCTGGCCCTTGCCCGAATTTGTAGCTTATCACAACATCCTTCTACCCCCCATTACCTCCTATTATACAGGAACACCCAAGCGACCTTCACAACATTCATATCAACTAGTACACAGGGTCTCCAAAGAGGACCTCTGGATGCCTGTGATCTTTGTACTTCTGCCTACCCTTTGCCCTGGCGTGTTTTTCTCTTCCTTCATGTTCTGCTGGCCAAATTGTTTTTCCTTCAAGTCTTAGGAGCCTGCCTGATTATGTTCCTCCTATTCCGCATCCTCATAAAATTACTGCGACTTCCAAAACACTTGGCACATTCTTATTTGAATACATTACATTGTTGTGTAATTATCCCTTGGCCCCCTCCCCCAGCACTAGACTCTAAGCTCTTTGAAGGCAGACTATGCCTATTCATCTTTGTATTTCTAGCCCTGGGCCCAACACCCAGAATTTCTTGTATTTTCAATATATGTCTGCCAAATGAATTAGAGCTAATGCCTGAAGGAGAATAAGTTTTTTTGAGAAAGAGGAAGAGCCAGGAGGGAGGAGAAGGCAGGGTCCGAAGAGCCCTGGGGGTTTACTTGGGGAAGATGCGGTTCCCCATTGCAGCATTCTGCCAGGAGGTGGCACTGCTCTGAAGAGCCAGCTGGTCGCTTACAGACTGAGGCTGACAGCTTGAAACCAAAGAGGGAACTCCACCAGGAAGCAACATTCCTCCACTGGGCTTCCCAGCCCAGTTACATGCCATACTCTGCCCTGGTCAAACAGCCAAGTCTTCAGGAGGTTACTGGCCCCAGGCGTCTCCCCAGTGACTGATGATGTTAAACCCTACGCTTCTCTGATTGGTTTAGACAAAATGACAAGGGCACCTATTGGAAATGATCTGGCAAAACATGATCTAAGGCCACCCTCTCGGGGAGGGAGTTGGGGAAGCTGGGTTGGCTGGGTTGGTAGCTCCTACCTACTGTGTGGCAAGAAGGTATGGGTCATGAACAGAACCAAGGAGCTGCGCTGCTACAGATGTTACCACTTCTGTGGCTGCTACCCCACTCCTGGGCCGTCCCTGAAGGTAAGATGGTACTCCTATTTACTTCCATCCTGAACCTAGGGAGCCCACTCAGCTTTGTGAGGAAAAGCGCTGTGCTTTGTGAGTGGTGGGAAGTCTTATGAGGCAGTGGAAACAACAGGGGAGTGGGGAAAGACAGCTGCTATGTGTGGTTGGTAAACGATATCAGTGATGCTTTGCATGTTCCATTTAAGACAATCTCTTGAAGCGGAGATTGTTCTCTCCATTTTACAAATGAAGAAAATGAGACTCAGAGTTATTTGTGCAAGTTCACACCATTGGAAAGTGGTAGAGCTGGGATTTGAACAAAGTGAATGTTATTTTCACTCCTCCACTCAAGATTCTACTCTGCTTTCTATCATTAACTTATCTTGTGATTCTTGAAAAGTGTCTTAGTTTCCTTCTCTGTAGAGGATGGGGCAGAATGGAAGAATAATCTGGAAGATCCCTCTTCCTCCAAATGTCTGTTTTTCTGGGTATTGGGTTAAAGGTTTCCTGCTGGCTGAGCGATTCCTGCCAAGAGCTTCAAAGAAGAGGGATTATTTTATGCAGTTATGGGGTCACTTCTCCCATTGCTGTCTTTGGGAGGCCTGGTAGGTTAAGGAACAGAAGACATTTTGAGAGACGCTTGGTGCCAATGAAGTGGCTGAAGAAATGTCTGGATACAGGTTTTCCAATTTACCATTTGTGTCTGGGGATAGTGGGAGGCAGTCCCATCTATGGCTTGGGGAGGCTGTAGCCATTCCTCCTCTTTCCCTTCTAAGAGTGAGAAACCCATCCATGGCCTTCTCTAGTCAATACAGTGGCCTGGTATGAATTAGACAAAGGAATCCCCTTTGGGAGGATACAGCCCTATGCCAGGATGTATGGCATGGTGAGCAGAATGCAGGCTTTCACTTGCTTCTTTGGCTAGGTGTCTTTGTGCAGCCCCCAAACACACAATGAACAGTGACTCTGAATCTGTCACTTTATTTTATATATATACATTTTTAAATTTTTTATTTGATTTAATTTATTTTTTTTGACACGGCATCTCGCTCTGTCACCCAGGCTAGAGTGCAGTGACGTGATCTCGGCTCCCTGCAACCCCTGCCTCTGGGGTTCAAGAGACTCTCCTGCCTCAGCCTCCCAAGTAGCTGGGATTACAGGCGCATGCCACCACACCCAGCTGATTTTTGTATTTTTAGTAGAGATGGGGTTTCATCATGTTTGCCAGGCTGGTCTCAAACTCCTGACCTCAGGTGATCCACCCGCCTTGGCCTCCCAAAGTGCTGGGATTACAAGCTTGAGCCACCGCGCCCGGCCTTTATATATATATTTTTTGAGACGGGCTCATTCTGTCACCTGGGCTGGAGTCCAGTGGCACAATCATGGCTCACTGCAGCCCCAACTTCCTAGGCACAAGCAATCCTCCTGCCTCAGCCTCCAGAGTAGCTGAGACCACAGGTGTTTGCCACCACACCTGGCTAAGTTTTTGTATTTTTTGTAGAGACAGGGTCTCGCTGTGTTGCCCAGGTTGGTCTTGAACTCCTGGGCTCAAGCAATCTGCCTGCCTCAGCCTCCCAAAGTGCTGGGATTACAGGCATGAGCCACCATGCCTGGCCTGAATCTGTCACTTTAGAAAGTAGAACTCTTTACTTTTGCCAACTGGCCTTTTTATAGGCAGGGGAAGCTTGGAGAGATGCCATAATTTGTTCTTCACCCCCTTTGGGAGGGGGAGTCTAAATAACAGACACAGGAAAGGGTCTCACCTCAGCCCACGCTCCTTAAGCAGGCCTTGCTTGTTTTTGTTGTTTTGTTTTGAGACAGAGTCTCACTCTGTCACCCAGGCTGGAGTGCAGTGGCTTAATCTTAGCTCCCGGCAACCTCTGCCTCCCTGGTTCAAGCAATTCTCCTCCCTCAGCCTCCCGAGTAGCTACAGGCGCATGCCAACATGCCCAGCTACTTTTTTGTATTTTTAGTAGAGATGGAGTTTCACCATGCTGGCCAGGCTGGTCTCAAACTCCTGACCTCATGATCCACCCACCTTGGCCTCCCAAAGTGCTGGGATTACAGGCATGAGCCACTGCGCCTAGCCCCACCTTGCTGTTTTTTAAGTTGGAGGAGAAGGCTCCCACCTCCCTGAACCTCACCCTGTGTCCTTTGCAGCTCCTACTCCAATGTGGCCAGATGACCTGCAAAACCACACATTCCTGCACACAGTGTACTGCCAGGATGGGAGTCCCAGTGTGGGACTCTCTGAGGCCTACGACGAGGACCAGCTTTTCTTCTTCGACTTTTCCCAGAACACTCGGGTGCCTCGCCTGCCCGAATTTGCTGACTGGGCTCAGGAACAGGGAGATGCTCCTGCCATTTTATTTGACAAAGAGTTCTGCGAGTGGATGATCCAGCAAATAGGGCCAAAACTTGATGGGAAAATCCCGGTGTCCAGAGGTCAGGAGTTTTCTGGGGAGTGAAGGGAGGAGGGCTGCATTAACCTCATTGATCTGTACACTGAATAATTCCCCTTGATACCAGCTCCCCATCTCAAATACTTTCTGGTTCTCTTCATCACCTTAATTTTTCCACCAGCCTTGGTCTGCACCCTGTGTTCTTTTGGTGGGCCGAAGTACCTAGCATGTAGTAGGCATTCAGAACTATGTATTGAATGTGATGAATTCAACAGGTACCAACTGATACCTACTGAATATTAACACTTGTGCTACTATGCCCAGCAAGATGGATGGGAAGAGTGGAAATATCTGATGACGTGACTATGTCTTAGTGAGAAGACAGTGCATGGTTAGACATCAATGTGAGCTCTAGACAGGAAGTGCTGAAGGAAGTCATGGTGGAGGGGTCCAGAGTAGCCTGGATCTGGCTCTGCTTCTACGTCTAGCTGCAGTCCTTGCCTGGAAGAAGACCTCCCTTCAGAGCCCAGCTCCTCGCTCATCTCTGTCTCCCAAAGCCTGACCCACTGTGTTCTTCTCTGCCCTCCCCTCCATATGCCATGGCCCCTCCAAACACAGAGATACCATCTAAACTAGTCTCTTTTTCCCCCTACACTTCAATCCCCCCACCAGGGTTTCCTATCGCTGAAGTGTTCACGCTGAAGCCCCTGGAGTTTGGCAAGCCCAACACTTTGGTCTGTTTTGTCAGTAATCTCTTCCCACCCATGCTGACAGTGAACTGGCAGCATCATTCCATCCCTGTGGAAGGATTTGGGCCTACTTTTGTCTCAGCTGTCGATGGACTCAGCTTCCAGGCCTTTTCTTACTTAAACTTCACACCAGAACCTTCTGACATTTTCTCCTGCATTGTGACTCACGAAATTGACCGCTACACAGCAATTGCCTATTGGGGTGAGGCTTTCTCCCTGGAATTCTGGTCCTTTTGGGGGCAAAAAGGGATAGATCCATGGGAGGAGGCTTCTTTCTCCACTGGTACCTTGTTTAGTCCATTCCTACCCTAAGCCCATCCCAGTCTCCCATGTCATCCCAGACACCCACGTCATTTCCCTGGGTGGGAGGCTCCCTAACTAGGTCCCCAGGCTGAGCCACTCATTTCCTCCAGTACCCCGGAACGCACTGCCCTCAGATCTGCTGGAGAATGTGCTGTGTGGCGTGGCCTTTGGCCTGGGTGTGCTGGGCATCATCGTGGGCATTGTTCTCATCATCTACTTCCGGAAGCCTTGCTCAGGTGGTATGTCATCTGGAGGGGGCGGGTGAGCCTGTGGGAGCCAGATACAGTGGTGCATGCGTGCATGTGTCAGGATTATTTTGTGGCATGGGGGGACATATAGCGATCCTCAGGCCCTTGGGTGTGGGGGCCTGTATCCAGCACCATGGGGGCACATCTTCCCAGTTGGGGACCCAGTTACACACACACAGTTATGGGTCACAAGAATTGCTTTGAGTGAAAAAAGGAATCATGGGGTGCTGTAGGAAGGGTGCTTGGAGATGATTTGGGAACAAGGAGAGATCAACTTCTGCAGGGTGTGGTGCAGGCAGGGCGAGCAAGGCCTTTGTGGGGGAGGAGGAGGAGGAGAAGAAGGAGGAGGATGGATCCCCTGATGCCTTTCCTCCATCCCTGTCTCTCCCCCAGACTGATTCTTCCAGACCAGAGTTTGATGCCAGCAGCTTCGGCCATCCAAACAGAGGATGCTCAGATTTCTCACATCCTGCCCAGGATCTCCTCTTAGGGTAGAAGAAGTCTCTGGGACATCCCTGGGGTGTGTGTGTAGATTTCCCACCTGGGGACTCTGCTGTCCCTGGGCTTGCATCCCAGGGATCCCAGAGTGGCCTGCCTATCACAACCACATCCCTTCCCCCCACAAGGCAATAAATCTCATTTCTTTATATCAGTGTGGCTTCTTTCTTAACTCATGGTATTTGTTTCTGGATATCTCAACTTGAGTGGGTTGTCGTTTCAAATTCAGCATGCCTTAACCTGAACACAGCTTGACCTCGTTAGGGAGGGAAATAGGGAAAACCCCTAATTTGCCAGCTGAGCTCTTATTCCCTGGTCTTGGCGGTACATGATGTTTTTCCATCTATCGGTTTGTGCAAAATATGTGAGAAACGAAGGCAGAGTTATTTTCTAATAATCTGCTTACAAAATGGTTAAGGAAGCTGCTTGTGTGTTTTGTGCGTGTGTGTGTGTGTTGTGTATTTTACTGTTTGTGAAAATGTTTATGTCTCGTATAGGCTGCCCTGAGGAACATATAACTCCCTTCAACCCTCACCGTAACTGAGAAACAGAAGCTCAGGGATGGGAAGAATAAGCTCCCAAGTGCTATACCAATCAGTTATGTCAGTTCTGGGAAAACAGTATCATGAAGCCCCTAACATGAAGTGAAAACAGCCTGGAAGGGCAAAGAATTCACATGTCTTTCCTGACAATCTGTTCCTTGGCCTGAGTGAACTGTCCAAGGAGAACTGCACAGGTGCTGTCCTGGGAAGATAACGAAAGGTGGCAGCACATGACCACTGGTGGTAAATTGCTTTGCATATGCTTTCTTTCTTGCATTCCTTAGGGTCTGGGAGTTGCTTTGGATGACAGGGTGGCAATAAAGTTGAGAGGGCAATTATTTGGTGAGGGAGTTTCTGTTCTTGGCATTGTACTAGAGTCTAATCTAAAAGAAAATATTAAATTCTCCCTAAGAGAAGTTGCACTGTCTCTGAACCATCTCATTTCTAACAGCATCATGTGTACCGGTTAAGAAGCATGGGCTCTGGAACCTGACTGCTGGGGATTCAATCGTAACTGTCAGCGTTTAGCTGTGAGCCCTTGGGCAAGTTACTTAACTTGTGCTTTGGTGTCATTTTCTGTAAAAGGATGATGATAACAATGGTGTCCCCCTTACCACTCTACACCCACCATGTTGCCAACATTTGAAAGTCAAATAAGTATTAGCGAGGATAAAGGAAAATGTGAACTGTAATATCTTGGTCTGTTGGTGGGAATGTAAACTGTTTATGATGCCCGAATTACAGAAATTATGAACTAGTTGAGTGAAAAAGTTAATATAGGAAATAAGGCAGCATATCCTCATGCTGTGAAGCTTAAATAAGTTAATACCTACAGAATGCTTAAAATAGTGTTTGGCACATAGAAAATGTGCTGAATAACCTAACCTTATCATTATTGGTCTTGATCTTCAGAGGAGAACTTAGTTGCCTCGTAGACTTCTTTCTCTTTTCTGAAATATACCTCAATACTAGCTTCAAGTATTGTATTTTCTCCATTTTAGATGTTTTTCTTTTTATTCTCATGTTAGTAATTCTAGATGTGGTGCTTTCTAGTTCTTCCTAATTTCTCTGTCTCTCTGTTTTCCAACTTATCTAGATATTTCCTGTCAGGCAAGACTTAAAAGTGCTTTATTATGCTGTGTGACTTTAGACAAGTCACTTCCCCTCTCTGGGCCTCAAAGTCTTCATCTGTAAAATGATGGGCTTAGATTAGATGCTCTCTGATGAAACCTTCTATGATACTGTTACTTAAGTACTCTAGAAGCACTCAGTATCCTCTCTAGTCTGGTGCCCCTTTTCTAATAAAAAATATTACTCACTATTCCCAGCAGGAATGCTATTCTTGAATAAATCTTTTTTCCTCACTCTTCCTTGAGGTATTATATCTGGTTTTGGTTTAGGGCATTTGCCCAGGCTCTTTCCTCTCACAAGAATGCTTTCTTTATTCTGCTCATCTTGTTCCTGTCTTAACCCACTCCATAGGTCCAACTCCAGTTCAACTTATTCCATGAACCTGCCCCTAATTTCTCTTTATTGAAATCTTCCAAGACTTAAAGCACTCAACCTAAGGATTGGGATATGCCGCTTTATTTCCTATGTTAATTTTTTCGCCCAACTAGTTTATAATTTCTATAATTCAGGGATCATAAACAGTTTACACTCCCATCAACAGAGCAAGATAGTTCACATTTCCCTTTATGCTCACTAATGCTTGTAATTATTTGACTTTCAAATGTTGGCAACATGGTGGGTGTAGAGTGGTATTTTGTTGTTTTAATTTGCTTTTCTCTCATTACTAATCAGTATCATATTGTTTGATTATTTTGGCTTTTTAATATGTGTTACTATTTAGTAGAACTAGTCTCCATTCCTTCACCACCTTCCCAAAAAATTTATTTTCCTTTTCTTTATCAAAATATTCTAAGATACTCTTGGACTTTATTTCCATGTACATTCTATAATCAGTTTGTTAAATTCTCCTGAAATCCTACTGTTACTTTAATTGGGGTAGCATTTAGGTTAGAGATGTGGGGAGAGGTTGTCATTATGTTAGCATGGCCTATCCATGAATATGGTATATCTCTACACCTCTCAGGTCTTTGTGCACTTCAATAAAGTTTTCTTTTTTCTTAAAATTCTTATATTTGATATGTTAATTCATAAATATGCTATGGTTTTTATTGTTATTATAAATAGTAGGCAATTTTCAGTTATTTTCCAATTGATTATTGGCAATACAGGATTTAAAGTAATAAATCCTGAGTTCAAGTAATGGTTTTATTACTTAGTATCTGGGTAAATCTGGGCAACCACTTAACCTCCCTCTGCCTCCATTTTCTCGTGGGTAAGATGAAGATAGCATTCTTCAATAGTTGTGGTGGCAAAAAATAAAATTAAAAAAGGAAAAATAGTTGTGGCAAATCAGATAGACTATCCCTAGTAGTTCAAATAATTTGACTGTAGGTTGGAAGGATGGTGAACTGACTACAGAAACTATAATCCAAAGGTCAGGGTCTAGAGCAGTGAATCCTGACAGGGTAGGAGGGTGTGTGTGTGGGCGGAGGTGAGGTAAGGGGTAGATGGCAGGGGTGGGGTGGGGATTGGACAGATTGGGCAAGTAATATAATCTTGGCAGGATGTAGGTGTGTGTAGTTTTGAAAAGACACTGAAGTCACGAATGTGGTCTTATGCTATGAGGCGTGATTAACTGGTTGAGCAATTTTGTGTTTATAAAATGGAGACTTCAGTTAAAACCGTCTGCCCCAAGAACCTGCGAACTGACATGGAGCAACTTTAGGAAGTGCCTAGAAGAGATTTATTATTATGGCCATACTCTCAGAAAAAAACAAGAAATCACATTTGTGACTTCCTCCAACGTGCAGTGCCAGTGACGTTATTGTAGCTTGTCTTTGTTTTAGCTAACCCAGGCTCTCGTAGGACACCTCCTCCCTGATGGCACCTCACAGCATTGTCAAGCTTGTGGAGCTATACACCAGACCTACAATGCCAACTGCCTTCCTCCTCTCCAACACAAATCCAGCCCAGTATTCAAGGCTCATTCCAGGCCCTCTCGACTGAGAGTACTCCCTGTCTACCATGTCCATGGTGATTTCTCTCTTCTCTTTTAAGACCACTGGCCTTATTGCTTACTTACTTTAATATAAACTATTTAAAGTGTTTGTTCTCACTCCCCAATTGACGTACAAGCAAAGCGATATGGGGGCAGAATCCATATCTTCTCACTCTGTATTTTCCCAGTAATGCTTTGCACACAAACCCTGGGACTAGTTTACTGCAGGCATGTGGTGGTCAGGCTAAGGGCAGAGGCAATGGGAAAGGAGAGGACTCACTCTTTGGGTGGTTGTGTAGAGGCAATAAAAGAAAGGCAACATGTGGGAACCTGGTTGGGGCTCCATACCTCTTCGGTCCCGGTGCTATATCAATAATTAACAAATAAGTAACAATGGACAGAGCAACTGAAATGTTATTTTGAATTGGCTAGAGGTGGAAAGACAGAGCTATATCTGTAAAAATGGAAGGGTTGGGAGGAGGAGAGGAAGGAAAACACTGCTGAGCACAGGTGTCTGGGTTTTCTGTCCTTCTTTATTCTAAAAAGCTCCCTCAGTGTTTGAATTAATAGAGAAGTGAAATCCTCTCCTACCATTTCCTGTTGTGGCCTCACAGAAGGTTTCACATCTCCTTTGACTGCCGGAGCAGAGATCTAGACATAAGAGGGAACTACATTCAGCCCCACTGTTACTGGCTAGGGCCATGTTCAGTGCTGGCACAGGACCACACAGCCAGTGCTCCCTTGCCAGGGCTAGGCTTTGTAGACATTGAAAAGGATCCCAGGACTTGGTTCCTATAAGGTTAGGCTAACAGCTTACCTGGGCAGGATGGGGAGGAATGTGAGGGGGAAATGTATTGGGGGGGTGTGGGGGAAAATTCAGTTTTGAAACTTGTCAAAAGAGAAAGTGGAAGGGACGGTGGTTCTCAGAGCAGAAGGAACTCTGAGGACAGGAAAGATAAGACTTGGGTGAATTGGGTTATGGATTGTGACTCTTCTCTTTCTCTCTTTCTCAGCGGAGGCCTCACTAACTCCCTTTATTTGAGCCATCCCAGTTCCAAGATGTAGTGAGTGTGTGGGCATGCTCAAGAGAGTGTGTATGTGTGTGTGTGTGTACACATGTGCATGTGTAACAGCTGTATAAGAAGAGGAGTTACAGCCTTTAGACCTTGGGTGTGAATCTTTGGACCTGTTTTCCAACCTGGGAAATGAGGACAATTAACAAGTTTTTTTTTTTTTTTTTTTTTTTTTGAGACAGTCTCATTCTGTCACCCAGGCTGGAGTGCAGTGGCACGATCTCGGCTCACTGCAACCTCCACCTCCCAGGTTCAATCGATTCTCCTGCCTCAGCCTCCAGAGTAGCTGGGATTACAGGCACGCGCCACCACACCCAGCTAATTTTTGTATTTTTTGTAGAGACGGGGTTTCACCATGTTTGCCAGGCTGGTCTCAAACTCCTGACCTCAGGTGATATGCCTTCCTCAGCCTCCCAAAGTGCTGGGATTACAAGCGTGAGCCACCATGCCCGGCCAACAAGTCTTTTAAGATGAGATGAGATATTATAGAAAGGACCTACCTAGCACTGTATCTGTAGAAGCTCTACAGATTATGCACTCCCCACCCCATATTCTGCCCATTCCAACACACTTGACAGTTCGTTAGCAGAGTTAGAGTATATAAGCAAGGTGAGTGGGGGCAGTGGCTGGGAGCTATGGCAGAGCTTCAGTTAATCTCAATTAGTTACACAACGAATCTTTCGTTTTTGGTAATAATCTTTGTATGCATTTTTTATCCCCATTTTCTTCATAGGTGTTAGATTTTCCTGAGATCAGGGACTTTGAGGGAGGGCAGGTAAGTGTGGTGTCAAGGGGCCCCTTCCACAATCCTCTTTTGTTTAGCTCACTATTTAATAAAATCCAAGAGTTCTCAGAAACTAAGATGTGAAGAGGCAGCCCTGAAACCTACTGGGGAGCAGAAGGAAGCCAATTTAGAGTTTCAAGTTAGTGATGGAAAATCCATCAACTGTATAGTTCACAATGGGATAGAAGAATGAATTGCCGTTTAAAATCTGCTTTTTCAGGCCAGGCACGATGGCTCATGCCTGTAATCCTAGCACTTTAGGAGGCTGAGGTGGGTGGATCACTTGAGGTCAGGAGTTCAAGAACAGCCTGGCCAACATGATGAAACCCTGTCTCTACCAAAAAAAAAAAAAAGACAAAAACTAACCAGGAGTGGTGGCACATGACTGTAACCCCAGCTACTCAAGTGGCTGAGGCATGAGAGTCATTTGAACCCAGGAGGCGAAGATTGCAGTGAGCCGAGATTATCCCACTGTACTCCAGCCTAGGCGACAGAGTGAGACTTTCAAAAAAAAAACCTGTGAAAAAAATAAATACGCAAATACATAAAATCTGCCTTTTCAAGACACACACGTGACCAAGAAGCATATGAAAAAATGTTCAACATTACTAATGATTAGAAAAATGCAAATCAAAATCATAATGAGATACCGTCTCACACCAGTCAGAATGGCTATTATTAAAAAGTCAAAAAATAACAAATGTTGGAGAGGTTGCAGAGAAAACGGAAGGCTTATACACTGCTGGTGGGAACATAAATTAGTTCAGCCATTGAGGAAAGCAGTTTGGCAATTTCTCAAGAACCTTAAAACAGAGCTACCATTCGTCCCAGGAATCCCATTATTAGGCATATACCCAAAGGAGTATACATTGTTCTACCATAAGGACACATGCACATGAATGCTCACTGCAGCAGTATTCATAATAGCAAAGACATGGAATCAGCCTAAATGCCCACCAACAGTAGACTGTATAAAGAAAATGTGGTACATATACACCATGGAATACTCCACAGACAAAAAAGGACGAGATCACGTCTTTTGCAGCATCATGGATGGAGCTGGGGGCTGTTATCCTAGGCAAACTAACACAGGAGCAGAAAATGAAATACTGCATGTTCTCACTTTTATAAGTGGGAGCTAAACATTGAGTACACATGGACACAAAAAAGGGAATAATAGACACTGGGCCCTACTTGAGGGTGGAGGATGGGAGGAGGGAGAGGATCAAAACACTACCTATCAGATACTATACTTATTACCTGGGTGATGAAATAAATTTTTACGCCAAATCCCGATGACACACAATTTACCTATATAACAAACCTGCATGTGTACCCTTGAACCTAAAACAAAGGTTAAAATAATTTAAAATAAATAAAAAATAAAATCTTACTTGGTATTCTCAAAAAATAAAAAACAAAATCTGTCTTTTCAGGGGAAGAAAAGTAGGAAAGCTTTATCTCATTTTCCTAGTGGCTTCATAATGCAGGGACCTGCCCCCAGGGAACAGGGTATAGTAGGGGAAACACACAGGGGTGTTTAGAGTTTGGCGAAAGGCAGGTGAGCTCTGGGCACTGACCCGTCACCAGCTATTTTTCAAGGAGTCTGAGAGGTGTTAACCTGCGGTCTACCCCGTGAGATTGCTCAGAGTGTAGGAGGATATGGTTTACTAGCTCCGGAAAGCAGCTATTATAACTGAGGAGGAAATGAAGCTTGACTGGCTAGAACAGAAGCAACAATGGAGGCCCATGGAGGGATTTTCCAGGCCCCTATTCCTGATCTCCATGGTGGCGCTGCTTCCCTTATTCTGCAGTCTTGCTTTGAGACCAGACAATTCTGTACTCTGTCTGTGCCTTCTTCCTTCTCAGCAGCCCTGCCTCTGCCACCTGCCCCAGAAGGGCTCTGGGTCCTCTCATCTCAGGACAGACAAGGGTTTTTGTAATTATCTTCTTGGGTAACCTCCCTGTAAGGAATAGGAGAGGTTATCTGGTCCTGGTCTTTTGGGAGAGCATTGAGAAGAAAAAGTTAAACCAGTGGGCAGCCCAGGCTGCATACATCCTGGGAATATTGCGATTATTCTCTCCAGTAATCTACGGAAATCTACTGGTTGTTCTGCAGAAAAAGAATTAAGAGAGACAAGGAGACCTGTTGTCTAAGACTAAGGCAGGATGACGTTTACCTAGTAACTGATGATGCTAGGCTGAGGCACTCAGTGATTTGTCTCTACATTTGTCCCTGCCTACCTAGCCAATCTGTCCCTGTTTGGGACACTGGACTCCCGTGAGCTGGAAGGAACAGATTTAATATCTAGGGGCTGGGTATCCCCACATCACTCATTTGGGGGGTCAAGGGACCCGGGCAATATAGTATTCTGCTCAGTGTCTGGAGATCATCTACCCAGGCTGGGGCTTCTGGGACAGGCGAGGACCCACGGACCCTGGAAGAGCTGGTCCAGGGGACTGAACTCCCGGCATCTTTACAGAGCAGAGCATGATCACATTCCTGCCGCTGCTGCTGGGGCTCAGCCTGGGCTGCACAGGAGCAGGTAAGGACACTTCTTCTGGGGACTCTCCCTTCCCCTGCTCCTGTTTCAGGGTAAGGGTGTTCCGTTTTGTAATTGCATTTGACACCCCAGATAGTTTGTCTCCCTGGTATACATTCCTATAGCACTTTGTACTTTGTAGCAATTTTAATGTAATTAATCTGTATAATTATCTGTGCAGTGTATATTCCCTGCTGGAATATAGGCAAGGACAATGTTCATCTTATTTATTGCTGCCTCCTCAGCTCCTAGCACAGTGCCTTGCATGCAGCAAGTGCTTCATAAATATGTGCGAAGTGAATATTTAATATTTCCAGCACAATACAAGGCTGACTCTTTCTCTTGACCCTTTTTCTCTCTCAATAATTTGCCTTACTGAAGGTCTGTGTTCTGGGCAAATTGTCATGTTTAAACATGCAAATAATCTCGGGGGGCTACTCCTATCCCTGTGCTTAGTCTTGCATAAAGAGGAGACTGGATCTAAAAACTTATCTACTACTTCTACTGACTCCCTCAAATCAGACTTTCAGAAACTTCAGTGTATGAGCTTGGTCAGTAGATGTTCCCTGAGCAGGAAATCTGTGCCAGACTAGCTGGATGTCACCAAGGCTTAGGTTCTGAGCTGAATATAGGAAAAATCAACTTTTTTTCTTCTATATGCTCACACTCAACACTTCTTTGACCAACTGTGTGAGGTTTTTTTTTTTTTTTTACTCATACCAACCAATTCTCCTATATTAGCTGGATATCCTATAATTCAATTCCATTGTGACATTAACTAGAGTTAACATAGACACCAAAGGTTAAAGACTCAGTCCCATAAGACTGCCTCCATTTCAGACACCAATCACAAGTAGTAGGTTCCCAAATTACCCACATCTTCTGTCCAACTTGCCTACAAATCAGAGGTTCCCATGACCCCCTCCTTGGGGTTGGTAATTTGCTAAAGTGGCTTATGGAACTCAGGAAAAGTTTACTTATTATTGTAGATTTTTTACAAAGGATATTTTAATTGATAATAATAATTATAAATATTCATGGGGTGGATAATGATGTTTTAGTACATGTAATGTACAGTGATCAGATCAGATCATCATCTCATTTATCATTTCTTTGTGTTGGAAACATTCCATATCCTTCTTCTAGCGATTTGAAATGATATAAAGTATTATTGTTAATGACAGTCATCCCACAGTGGTATAGAACACTAGATCATAATTTTGCATCCTTTAACAAAGGATATTTTAAAGCATACAAAGGAACATCCAGATGAAGAGATACCAGATCTGGAAGGGTCCCAATCACAGGAGCTCTGTCCCCACAGAATTGGGGTACTTCACCTCCTGGCATGTGGATGTGTTTACCAACTGAGAAGTTCTCTGAACTCCATAGTTCCGGGATTTTTATGGAGGCTTCATCATGTAGGCATGACTGATTATTAACTCAATCTCCAGCCCCTTCCCCTTCAGGGAGTATGGGGGATGGGACTAAAAGTTCCAGACTTCTAATCATGACTTGGTCTTTCTGGTGACCAGCCCCTCCTGCAGGAGCCCACCAAGAGTACCTCATTAGAACAAAAGACACTCCTGTTATCTAGGAAATTCTAAGCGATTAGGCACTCTATGTCAGGAACCAGGGTCAAAGACAAAGCTCTGTGCAGAGCTCCTAAATATACGTCTGTATGTTTTATATATTTATTATTTGTGTATATTTATTATTTATATATTTATTTATTTATTGCCAGGCCAGTAGAAGACATTGACCTGTTCTCCCTTCCCTGGCTCCTCTAGGTGGCTTCGTGGCCCATGTGGAAAGCACCTGTCTGTTGGATGATGCTGGGACTCCAAAGGATTTCACATACTGCATCTCCTTCAACAAGGATCTGCTGACCTGCTGGGATCCAGAGGAGAATAAGATGGCCCCTTGCGAATTTGGGGTGCTGAATAGCTTGGCGAATGTCCTCTCACAGCACCTCAACCAAAAAGACACCCTGATGCAGCGCTTGCGCAATGGGCTTCAGAATTGTGCCACACACACCCAGCCCTTCTGGGGATCACTGACCAACAGGACACGTGAGGAGAGAGGGGTGCAGAGGGGCTACCAGGAAGTGCAGTTAGGAGGGCAGGCCAGGGAGGATCCCACAGTGGCCCAGGGGTTTGAGATTTGAGCAGCAAATAAGAGAAAATGTGTGGATCTGAAATGTAGAAAGACGGAGGATTGAACCTCAAGGGGAACAAGGTGGCTGACGTGAGTGGAACAGGAGTAAAGAAGGGGAGGTGAGGCTTGAACCGCGAGGTGCCATGTGGGGAGCTTATGCAGAGGCTGGGGCATCTCAGGATGCATACCCAAGATGTTCTTGCCTTGTTATCCCAGATTTTGATGTTCCAGATCTGATGTGGGCCCAGGCATGGGAATATTTGGAATCCCAGGGGATTCTGACACATGCTTTTTCTCACCCTTAAACTCTTGCATTGACAATGGCTTGAAGTTTGTGAAAGTAAACTTGAAGATCTCCACAGTACAGAACAGTGTGTCTCAAGGGTGGTTTCTGAACCACCTTTCTCAGAATTGCCTGGAGGAGGTGCTTGTTAAAGATGCAAGCCCCTTAGTACCACTCCAGATCTGTTGAAAGAAAGTATCTGGGGATACAGCCTAGGAAATCTGCATTTTAACATAATTCCTTGGATTTTTATTTAAGATTGTGTTTGAAAAATGTCAAGATAGAGGCAAGCAAGAGGATCACCTAGGAGAGTAAATTAGTAAAAGATGGCAGTATTAGCAATCTCATTAGTTTGACTACATTCATTCCAAATTTAAGAGTGAGTCCTAAGTTAGGCTTGTTTCCTTGAACTATGTGAGGAGAAAAAGCTTTAACTAGCAAAAGAACGTATTAAACAAGATTTGGAGAAAAATTCCTTTTCCACCTTAAAAAAACCCAATGTACAACTCTGGATTACTCTTAGCTTCCTTATTTCAAATACTTTCCAGTTTATGTACTTGAAATAAATACAACAACTTCTAGAACAGCTTGCAGTTCAGATCTGGCTTTTACTAATTGTAATCAAACATAATTCTGGAGGAGGAAAGAAAGAAAGGGGCAATGAAGGAATGGGAGAGAAGAAAGAGTAATGCAGGAATACATTCTAACGGTTCCCCTTCAAGGGGCAGCATGGCAGAGGGGGCTGGGGTGGAAAGTGGGTTGCAAAATCTACGAAGAGTTGCGATAGGGAAGAAACCAGGTTGAGGAAGCAGCCAGAATGTCACCCTCCTTCCTAAACATGTTTTTTTCTCCTATGCAGGGCCACCATCTGTGCAAGTAGCCAAAACCACTCCTTTTAACACGAGGGAGCCTGTGATGCTGGCCTGCTATGTGTGGGGCTTCTATCCAGCAGAAGTGACTATCACGTGGAGGAAGAACGGGAAGCTTGTCATGCCTCACAGCAGTGCGCACAAGACTGCCCAGCCCAATGGAGACTGGACATACCAGACCCTCTCCCATTTAGCCTTAACCCCCTCTTACGGGGACACTTACACCTGTGTGGTAGAGCACATTGGGGCTCCTGAGCCCATCCTTCGGGACTGGAGTAAGTGTATGGCAGATGGATGGAATTAGGGTCAAAGCAGAGAAAATGAGATGTGGATCGATACATGGTACATGGTAGACAGCGAAGTGCTGAAAATGGGGACTGAGTCTGGAGGAACTTACGGGGGGCTTAGGACCAGAATGGGGAAATGGGATAAAGAAATGGAAATATTTAGGTTGGTGCAAAAGTAATTGCAGTTTTTGCCATTACTTTCAGTGGCAAAAACCGCAATTACTTTTGCACCAGTTTAATATTTAGTCTGTGCTATTGCTGCTCTGGTGGTGTGGCTGATGTTGCTGCGTCTATGTTTGAGGGTGAGAGGGGAGCGTGCTTGCTTTGAAATGAGGCTGTAAATTTGGCAATCATATTTTCAGAACCCCAAATTGTAATACACTATTCTAGCCTCCTTAGATTTCAACTATTCTGGTGCCAGAAGCAGATGGGAGCTGAAGGAATGATGAAGGTTGAAGAAGGGGGGCTTTTCTTGGTGTGGGGCAGTACTGCATTTGGCCTGCTCTACCAAGCATACGGGAGTAGTAAAGCCACGGCTGGCAGACCATTTGGCATGCATGCTCAGGGGCCAGTGGATAAAGAATTACTTACAGTTCAAACACTGTTTGAACTCAGTGTCGGGAGTAGTTAAAGGTATCGTGAGAAGTTGCACACAGCTTTGGGGACTCTTGGAAAAGAAAGAGGAAGAAATGAGGAAGAGGAAGGGTGTCTACAAAGGGCCAGAGAACAGGATCTCAGATCAGCTGCTGTAACCAGGTTTCCCCTTGTGGGAAGTGTTGTTTCTTGCTGGGCAGTTGGGAAGGGAATGGAGAACAGAGAAGAGAGTGGAAATCACATGCTCACTTGAACTTTCCTGGGGAACGTCTCCTCACAGCGTGCACAAGAGCCTCCCTTTAGAAATGGAGTGTTCATTTTATCATGGGAAAAGAATCTGAGTGGGACATGATTCAGAACAGGACCGGCCCAAGGAAGTGCAGGGGCTGTGGAGTGGGATGGAGACAAGCTCTGAAAGGACACATGGGAGATCTAGATGTAGAAGGTACACAAGTAGTAGGATAACTCACAGGATGGATCCACTGGAGGTTAAGACATGTGGTAAGACAGTGTAATAGGAAGCTGCTCAGTTGGAGAAAGTAAGGAAGCAAACATTGTTACCGTGGGGGCAATGGAGAGGACAGTGAGGAGCCCTTTATCCTGATAAGGGTGGCTTTGGGGTAAAGGAAGGAAAGAGGATGCCTTGAGAGGCCCCACTGTATTAGAGAGGACCTGGAAGCCAGGATGCTAATTCTGGGGAGATGGGTTCCCCAGGCTTACTCTAGGAGTAGAGGTCCATGGGACGAGGGTTTGATTTGAGAAAGATCATTTTCTTGGGAGTGGGTGGTGTGAGCTAGACCCTTGGAGCTGGGATAAAGGACCTTTTAACCCACTGAGAGGTGGCTGCAATAAATGGAATTGCCCTGGGGGTGAGCAACAGAAACTGGGTCAAGTAAGTTTCTATTTTTTGCAGCACCTGGGCTGTCCCCCATGCAGACCCTGAAGGTTTCTGTGTCTGCAGTGACTCTGGGCCTGGGCCTCATCATCTTCTCTCTTGGTGTGATCAGCTGGCGGAGAGCTGGCCACTCTAGTGAGTGACTCGCTGAACTCCCATCCCCACTCTTGGTCCCACTCTCTGCTTACTTTCTGTTTGTGATTAACTCTCTCCTTCCTACTGCATTTGCTATGAATACTGCTAGATATTTTCATCCACAAAGACTGGTATAATCAAGTATCTTCCTCTCTTAGGTTACACTCCTCTTCCTGGGTCCAATTATTCAGAAGGTAACATCTCTGTTGGTCTGTTTCCCTACTTGCCCTTTGGTAGGGGTGCGGGTTAGAGGGGTCAGTGTTGGGTTCAACTAATCTTGATTATTATATGGGTGAGCTTCCATGAGGATCTAGGCAAGGGCATGATTTAAGCTGCCATTGCTAGGATTAAGAGCAGGAAGGAGCATCCTCCTCTTCTACCAAGTGGGATGTCTGTGGAGAGGAGGCTGAAGGTGCTTCCTTTGTATTAGTTGTTGGTGCCCTGGAGTTTTCAGTATCACTGTATTAAGGCATGGGATGGTTACAGTGACAAACGATGGGGGCAAGTTGGGTTGAAGCCTCATTATCTCCCTTTTATTTATTCTGTAGGATGGCACATTTCCTAGAGGCAGAATCCTACAACTTCCACTCCAAGTGAGAAGGAGATTCAAACTCAATGATGCTACCATGCCTCTCCAACATCTTCAACCCCCTGACATTATCTTGGATCCTATGGTTTCTCCATCCAATTCTTTGAATTTCCCAGTCTCCCCTATGTAAAACTTAGCAACTTGGGGGACCTCATTCCTGGGACTATGCTGTAACCAAATTATTGTCCAAGGCTATATTTCTGGGATGAATATAATCTGAGGAAGGGAGTTAAAGACCCTCCTGGGGCTCTCAGTGTGCCATAGAGGACAGCAACTGGTGATTGTTTCAGAGAAATAAACTTTGGTGGAAATATTGTTTTTCCATGTCTTCTTCCTGGGGCCCTGGGGAAGGAATATGGGCAAAGCAGGGACTGAGGTTAATTCTCTTCTGCTTGAGTAGGGGAGAAATCAATGCCTTCTTCCATTTTCCCACTTAGACATGACAGAATTTGGGGCCGTTTTCTGATTTATAATTCATAAGGAGAAATTCAACTGTGGTGGGTTGGAGTCACAGAGTATGGGCAAGGAAGGGAATTAACAGCTTACTCACCTCATACAGGATCTTATGAGGATTAAATGAGTTCATACTTGTAAATGGCTAAGAACACCACCAGGCACATAGCCAGCCTGCAATAGTGACGTTAGCTATATTCGATTATTCAACTTTCTGGCCAGGCATTGTACCAGGTGCTTTGATCCTCATCACAACCGTAAGGCAGACCCCTCATACCCCTCAGGATTCAGGGGACAGAGCTTAACTCCAGATTGAGTTCTAGACAGTTATTTCTTCCATACCCTGAATGCAGAAGGGAACATAGCTTGAGTGATTATTATGTCTTAGGCACTGGTCTCAGACCTTTATATTTGTAGCTCATTCTCTTCTCACAATAACCACACAAGGGACAGATTGTTTCCCTCTATGTTACAGACAAAAGATGTGAGGCTCAGAGACATTTAAGTGACTTGTCCAAGGTCAAAGAACAGATTTCTGTAGGATGTTTGTCTACCTGAGCTGGAAGTAGCAGATTACTTTATTCTGAAGACCCTCATGCTGGTGAGCACACATCTCTTCAGAGCCACCGTTCCATTCCCTTCTACCCCAAGACCAAGGAGAGCCCTTTGGGGGAATGGACTCCACCCTAAGGAAGAGAGGATGCTGGCTGGTGGTTTGTTGTCCCACGAAGGGCGACACCTGCTGGACACAGAAACCTAGGGTGTGGAATTGTTTTTGGAATTAGAGCTAGATACTAGAATATGGGTAAGAAAAAGAAACCAAGAAATGAGTTGATTTGGAACACCTCCATAATTTCTTCAGAAGCATCCTTGGAATTAGAGCATCTCTTCTGGAAGGGGTTAACAGAAGAAGTCAGTGGAAGGAACTTAATCTCTACATTTTACCATTTTTATGTTTCATTTTCATTTTTTTCTATTCACTGTTTTTGTTTTTATTTTTGTTTGTTTGACAAAGCAAATTCCTTTTGAAATTCTAGTTTAGTCTAGGAATGGGGGGCTTTGGGCCTTGTCTATATCTGGGCAGTTTTATTTATTATTTTTATTTTATTTATTTATTTTTTTTCGAGACAGAGTTTTGCTCTTGTTGCCCAGGCTGGAGTGCAATGGCGTGATCTCGGCTTATTGCAACTTCTGCCTCCCATGTTCAAGCGATTCTCCTGCCTCAGCCTCCCAAGTAGCTGAGATTACAGGCGTGCACCACCATGCCTGGCTAATTTTGTATTTTCTTAGTAGGGATGGGGTTTCACCATGTTGGTCAGGCTGGTCTCGATCTCCTGACCTCAAGTGATCCACCTGCCTCAGCCTCCCAAAGTGCTGGGATTACAGGCGTGAGCCACCGCACTAGGCCTATCTGGACAGTTTTAAAGGAGAAGCTGCAGATCTGAAGGGTCTAGTTCTAGTCACAGCAGTGGGAATCAAAGTGGCAGGATCCCAGAGAAAGGAAGTAGAGAGTTAGCTAATGGGACGGCTTCCAGTTCCTTTTCTAGAGATTCCCAGTGCAGGCTTTTCTCTGCCCTAACTTTGTAGGTTTTTTGTTTTATAGGAAAGGCTGTCCCCTTTCAGGTAAGGAATAGGGAAAAGTATATGTAGGTCTCCTAGGATCCAGAAAATCAGAATACTATAGGTAGAAAGGGGAGTTCTTACACAGGGGAATGAGTGGTACTTGAAAGGAAGGTGGAAGAAGGGTGATGGTGCACCAATTGTAGGAGGATGAGGAGAAGAGAATGGATGCTGCATGAGGAGAATGGAATGTAAACATAATGGATTGCCAAAAAAGGAGTGCGTGTGTGTGTGTGTGTGTGTGCACTTGAGCACATGTGAGAGAAAGAGAGGAAAAAAAGAGAAGGAGTGGAAGAGAGTAAGAGAGAGGGAGCAAAAGGGTGAGAGGAGAGAAGTGGAGTGGGAGAAAGAAGGAGAGGGACATAGAGAGAGGGAGGGAGGGGAGCGGGGGAAGAGAGAGAGAGCTGGACTTTCGGGTTATACATAATCCAAGCTGCACAAAGAATTGTTTTCGCCCTTCAATGTCTTGTTGTTTTAAAAGCTGAACTTGGAGCTAGAATTGGTTTTAAAGGTCATCTAGTCCACCTCCCCTCCCATGAAAGAACTGGGCCTGTGTTAACAAGGGCACACACAGTGCAGGGAGTTCCTTCAACACTTGGGGCAGATAACAATATTTTAGAGAAACGCGTTGACCCCACATTTGAGCTTCTTCTTTTGACCATTAAAGACAATGAGAATAAATCTCAAATACACCACGGGAGGTGGTATCCTTGGCATTTTTTTTTTCCCTGAGGGAGAGCATGTTCCTAGGTTCCAGGTTCTCTTTGCCTCCCTACCCACGAACACATGCATGTGAAAGAAACAGACAAGATTGACATTTAATCCCAATGTCTATTTATGAAAATTATCTTTAGGCCATTTTCTCAAGTTTTTCTCTTTCCAAAGTAAAATTGGGCAAATCAGATGAAAAACGAGGGTGGAGTTCAACCCCATCCTCAAATCCTTTTTTTTTTTTGGCTTGAGTGTCTGTCATTCCCAAGAGCCCTCCAACTGCCTTGAAGCAAGGCATGGGGGATTTCTCCGTGGTGCTTCCTGCCACTACTTGGCCAGACCAGTCTCCAGGGGTTTCAGAGAGTGGAGAGGCCCCAAACCTATAGAGACTACTCCCAGATGGGGGGCTCCTTGTTTCTCCAGACCCTTCCTCTTCCATTTCATATGAGGCTTCCAAGAGGCCCCTGGCCGTGCTGGTCTGGGGCAGGGAATAAAGAAATGGCTTTTATTGTATCAGAGTCTCAACAGAAAACAGATGGCATACTCGAAATAGGACATTTCAAGGAAAGTTTATTTATTAGCAAAGTATTTACAAAGAACTGGGTGGAGGATAGCTGTTACTACCCCAAGGTCCAAAGAGGCCGGGGACAGAAGGGGTTATCAGGACTCAGAAGGACAGCAAGCCCTGTACAGTCACCACCTTGCCAAGGGCAGTGCCCTTCAGTCAAGGGACACAACAGCTTAAGGTGACCTTGTAGGGAGGAAGCCAAGGGATTAGAAACACTGACCTCACTCCCCTCTTCCCTCTGCTCTTAGGCTGATGCTGGAAGCAAGAAGAAGCCAGGGAGCATGGGAGCCATTCAATGTCATGCAGGTCAGCACCTGAGGCAGACCCCAGGTGCAGAAGTATTGAGAGTGGGTCCAGAAGGACAGATGGAGGACAGGAAGTACATTCACAACAAGAAGGAAAAACGTCAATGTTGTGGGGTGGAGAGAGAGGTGCAAAATCTGGGCTTCTTTTGGCCTTGGACAATGACAAGCGCATAGTAGCAACAGAAACTAAGTTTGTAGTTTCCTACTGGGGAGTTTGGGAGGACACTCACTTCTAGTTCTGTCTTCCCCACTTGAATTTTGATTGTGGTTATACTGAATTTATAGAAATTTGGGGTTAACTGACTTGTTTTTATTACTAAATCATACCATGCAAAAACAGGATGTTTTCTCATTTATTGAAATCATTTTGTTTGCTCTTTATTATGGTTTTTAAACTTTACTTTTTCATAGTAGTCCTGAGTATGCTCAGTTAATTCTTAGGCATGTTGTAGCTTTTGCTGCTATTGTGATTGGTATCTTATTGCAATTCTACTTTTGAATCAGTAATTTCTGATGTAGAAGAATGTATCTAATTTAAAAAATTGTGGTTAAAAAAATAACATTTACCGTCTTAACCACTTTGAAGTGTACAGCTCAGCAGTGTTAAGTATATTCACATTTTTGTGCAACCAATCTCCAGAACTCCTTTTCACCTTGCAAAACCAGAACTCTACACCCATTAAACAACAACTCCTCATTTCTCTCTTCCTCTAGCCCCTGGCTACTATCACTCTACATTCTGTTTCTATGAATCTGACTACTTCAGATACCCTGTACAAGTGCAATCATGGAGTTTTTGTCTTTTGGCGATTGGCTTATTTCACTTAGCTTAATGTCCTTAAAATTCATACTTGTTGCAGCATGTAAGAGTGCTTTCTTCCTTTTTAGGCTGAATAATAAGCTACTGTATGTATATGCCATATTTTGTTTGCCCATTCATCTGTCTATGGACATCTTTGTTGCTTCCACCTCTTGGCTATCGAGAATAGTGCTGCTATGAATATGGGGGAAAATATCTGCTTAAGTCCCTGCTTTCAATTCTTTTGCATTTATACCCAGAAGTGGACTCTTGGGTCATATAGTAGTTTTACTACTGATTTTTTGAGGAACTGCCGTACTGTTTCCCATAGCAGTTACACATTTTACAATCCCACGAACATTGCATATAAAGGTTCTAATGTCTCTACATCCTCACCAACACTTATTTCTTCCCTCCCTCTCTCCCTTCCTTCCTTCCTTCCTTCTTTCCTTTCCTCCTTCATTTGCTCCCTCCTTCATTCCCTCCCTTCTTTCCTTTTTCCTTTCATTTTTATAGTAGCCATGCTAATGAGAATTAGATGATGTTATGGTTTTAATTTGCACTTCTCTAATAATAAGTAATGCTGAGCATCTTTTCATATGTGTGTTTGCCACTTGTATATCATCTTTGGAAAAATGTCTGTTGAAGTTTGTTGCCCCCTTTTTAACTGTTTGTATAAACAATTATTGTTGGGTTTTATGAGTTCTTTACATATTCTGAATATTAACCCTTTATTGGATATATGATATTCAAATACTGATATATGATTTTCAAATATTAGAAATTAATAATTTTTGTAAGTTGATCTTATATGGGACAACCTTGCTCGATCCTCTTATTGGTTTTAGTGGGGTTTTTGTTGTTGTTGTTGTCATTGTTGTTATTGATATTCTCTCTGTCTCTCTCTTTTTCCAGGTAGATAATAGTATCATCTGCGAGCATTGTTTTGTGTTTTCCCTCTTAATCCTTAGTGTTTTATTTTTCATGTTGTTGACTAGGATCTTCAATGCTGTGTCAAACAGTAGGGTGATAATGAGCATTACTCTTAAAGGAAATAAACCTAAATATTCTCCATTAAGTATAAATTTTGCTGTATATTGTAGATTCACATGCAGTGGTAAGAAATAATAAAAACAATCCTGTGTATCCTTTACCCAGTTTCCCTTGATGGTAACATTTTGCAAAACTATGGTACAATATCACAATTAGGATACATGGATACAGCCACAATACAGAACACTTCTATGATCACAAGGATTCTTCACCTTGCCCTTTTCTAGACACACCCACTTCCCTACCATCCCATACCCTCCTTAATGTCTAGCAATCACTAATCTCTTATCCATTTCTATGACTTTGTCACTTCAAGACAAATTTTTTTTTGTCATTTTAAAACAAATGATTAATAAATGGAAACATATAGTATATACACTTTTGGGATTGACTTTTTTTTCTCTCAATGTATTTCTCTGGAGATCATACAAGGTTGTTGCATATATCAATAATTTATTATTGCCTAGTTGTATTATATGGTATGGGTATAGCACAGTTAGTTTAGCCATCTGTCCATCACATCTGGGTTGTTTCCAGATTTGGCTGATATGAATATAAGTTTTTGTGTGGACATAAGTCTTAATGTCTCTGGAGCAAATGCCCAGGAGTGTACCTGCTGAATTGTATGGTGGTTGCATTTTTAGTTTTTTAAATAAACTGTCAAAGTGTTTTCCAGAGTGGTTGCACCAGCAATGTGCGAGTGATTGTTTTACTGCATCCTCACAGGCATTTGGTATTGTCACTATTTTTTTTATTTTTTTTGAGATGGAGTCTTGCACTGTTGCCCAGGCTGGAGTGCAGTGGTGCGATCTTGGCTCACTGCAAGCTCCACCTCCCGGGTTCGCGCCATTCTCCTGCCTCAGCCTCCCAAGTAGCTGGGACTATAGGCGCCCGCCACCACGCCCGGCTAATTTTTTGTATTTTTAGTAGAGATGGGGTTTCACCATGTTAGCCAGGATGGTCTCAATCTCCTGTCCTCATGATCCGCCTGCCTCAGCCTCCCAAAGTTCTGGGATTACAGGCATGAGCCACTGCGCCTGGCTTATTGTCACTATTTTTTATTTCAGCCATTCTAATATGTGTGTAGTGAGATCTTATTGTGGTTTTAATTTGCGTTTCCTTAATGGCTAATGATATCGAACATCTTTTCATGTGCTTATTTGCCATCTGTATATCCTTTTAATGAAATGTCTCTTCATGAATTTTTCCCATTTTCTAATTAATTTTTTTCAAACTGTTGATTTTTTTTCTTTTTTTTTCTGAGATGGAGTCTTACTCTGTCACTCAGGCTAGAGTGCAGTGGCATGACCTCGGCTCACCCCAACCTCTACCTCCTGGGATTACAGGCGTGTGCCACAACGCCCAGCTAATTTTTAGTATTTTTAGTAGAGACAGAGTTTCACCATGTTGGCTAGGCTGGTCTCAAACTCCTGACCTCAAGTCATCCACTCGCCTCAGCCTCCCAAAGTGCTGGGATTACAGGCATGAGCCAGGGGGCCTGGCCTGAGTTTTGATAAGTTGTTATATATTCTAGATACTAGTCCTTTGTTGGATACATGATTTGCAAATATTTTCTTCCATTATGTAGCTTGCCTTTTCATTCCTTTACAAGTCTTTCACAGAGCAACAGTTTTTAGTTTTAATCAGGTCTAATATATCCATTTTTTCATTTTACAGATCATGTTTTTGGTGTCAAATCTAAGAACTTGTTGCCCAGATCTAGATTCAGAAGATTTTCCCCTATCTTATTCTAAAAGTTTTATAGTTTTACATTTTGCATAGAAGTTTGTAATCCATATTGAGTCAATTTTTGCAGAAGGTATGAGTCTTAGATTAAACTGCTGCTCCTCCTTCTTTTCCTCCTTGTTGTCTTTCTCTCCTCCTATGGCCCTTGAATGTTCAATTGTTCCAGCACCATTTATGTTTTTCCGATGTCTGCAGGGTGTGTAGGGATATTCCCTGTGGACATTTCTATATTCTTTCTTTCTTCTTTGTCAGTGTAGTCTGCTAGAGGTTCATCAGTTGACTGATCTTTTCAAAGAAGCAACTTTTTGTGTCTCACTCTGTGGCCCAGGCTGGAGTGCAGTGGTGCAATCTCACCTCACTACAACCTCCGCCTCCTGGGCTCAAGTGATTCTCCTGCCTCAACCTTCCAGGTAGCTGGGACTACAAGCGCCTGCCACCACATTTGGCTAATTTTTTGTAATTTTAGTAGAAGCAGAGATTCACCATGTTGGGCAGGCTGGTCTCTAACTCCTGAGCTCAAGTGATCCACCTGCCTTGGCCTCCCAAACTATTGGGATTACAGGCGTGAGCCACAGTGCTCGGCCTTCCTTTCTTCTTTGGATGTATTTTGATCTTCTTTTTCTGGGCTCTTGAGATGAGAGTTTGAATTATTAATTTGTGTACTTTTTTTTTTTTTTAAAGAGACAAGGTCTCCTTATGTTGCCCAGGCTGGCCTCGAACTACTGGGCTCAAGTGATCCTTTCCTGCCTCAGCCTCCCAAGTAGCACCCAGTTTTTCTTCTTTTTAATGTATGCATTTAATGCTATAAATTTCCCTTTCAGCACTGGTTTAGCTGTGTCCTATAATTTTTTTTATTATTTTGAAAATATTTCGTGGGTTCATGGTAGGTGTATATGTTTATGGGGTACATGAGATGTTTTGATACACGCCTGGAATGTGAAATAACCAAATCATGGAGAATGGGGTAGCCATTCCCTCAAGCATTTATCCTTTGAGTTACAAACAATTCAATTACATTCTTTAAGTAACTTAAAAATATACAATTAAGTTATTTTTGACTATAGTCACTCTATTGTGCTATCAAATAGTAGGTCATATTCATTCTTTCTACTTTTTTTGTACCCATTAACCATCCCCACCTCCCCGCTCAGCTATCCACTACTTTTCTCAGGCTCTGGTAACCATCCTTCTACTCACTATGTCCATTAGTTCAATTGTTTTGATTTTTAGATCCCACAAATAAATGAGAACATGTCATGTTTGTCTTTCTGTACCTGGCTTATTTCACTTAACATAATGATCTCCAGTTCCATCTATGTTGTTGCAAATAACTGGATATCATTCTTTTTTCTAGCTAAATAGTACTCCATTGTATGTATGTACCACATTTTCTTTATCCATTCATCTGTCGATAGACACTTAGGTTGCTCCGAAGTCTTAGCTATTGTAAACAATGCTGCAATTAACATAGGAGTGCAGATATCTCTTTGAAATACTAATTTTCTTTCTTTCGGGTATATTCCCAGCAGTGGGATTGCTGGATCATATGGTAGCTCAATTTTAATTTTTTTGGAGGAACTTCCAAGCTGTTCTCCATGGTGGTTGTACTAATTTATATTCCTGCCAACAGTGTACAAAGCCTTCTCCACATACTCACCAGTACTTGTTATTGCCTGTCTTTTGGATACAAGCCATTTTTTTTTGAGATGGAGTCTTACTCAGTTGCCCAGGCTGGAGTGCAGTGGCCCAATCTCTGCTCACTGCAACCTCCATCTCCCAGGTTCAAGCGATTCTTCTGCCTCAGCCTCCCAAGTAGTTGGGACTACAGGCATGGCCCACCATGCCCAGCTAATTTTTGTATTTTTAGTAGAGACAGGGTTTCACCATATTGGCCAGGCTGGTCTTGAACTCCTGACCTCAGGTGATCTGCCCGCCTCGGCCTCCCTCAGTGCTGGGATTACAGGTGTGAGCCACCGTGTCCAGCCTGCATACAAGCTATTTTAACTGAAGTGAGATAATATCTCATTGAACTTCTGATTTGCATTTCTCTGATGATTCATAATGTTGAGCACCTTTCATAAGCCTGATTGCCATTTGTATGTCTTCTTTTGAGAAATGTCTATTCAGATCAGCTCATTTTTTGTTTGGACTATTGAACTCTTTTTTCCTATAGAGTTGTCTGAACTCCTTATATATTCTAGTTATTAATCCTTTGTTAGAGGGGTAGTTTGCAAATATCTTCTCTCATTCTGTGGGTTGTCTCTCCTAGAAATTTTTGATATGTTGTATTCTTATTTTCTTTCAATTCAGTGTATTTTTAAATTTCCTTTGAGATTTATTTTTTGACTCGTAGAGTATTTAAAAGTTTTCGCTTAGTTTCTTGACTTTCCTCTGTCATCTTTCTGTTATTTATTTCTAGTTTGATTCCAATGTAGTCAGAGAACACATTCTGTATAATTTATATTCTTTTAAATTTATCAATATTTGTTTTATGGCCCTGGATATAGTCCAACTTGGTATATGTTGCATGGACACTTCAAAAGAATGTATATTCTGTGCGGCCAACAAGCATGTGAAAAAAATGCTCAGTATAACTAATCATTAGGGAAATGCAAATCAAAACAATGATGAGACACCATCTCACCCCAGTCAGAATGGCTATTGTTAAAAAGTCAAAAACAACAGGTGCTAACAAGGTTGTGGAGAAAAAGGAACACTTGTACACTATTGGGGGTAATGTAAATTAGTTCAGGCACTGTGGAAAGCAGTCTGGAGATTTCTCAAAGAACTTAAAGCAAAATTCCCATACAACCCAGCAATTCCATTGTTGGGTATATACCTAAAAGAATATAAATTGTTCTGTCATAAAGACACATGCACATGCATGTTCATCACACTGCTATTCACGTTAGCAAAGACATGGAATGAACCTAGATTTCTTTATCCAGTGCTCATCAACAGTGCACTGGATAAAGAAGATGTGGTACATATACACCATGAAATACTACACAGCTATAAAAAATGGGATCATGGCCTTTGCAGCAACATAGATGGAACTGGAGGCCATAATCCTAAACAAATTACCGCAGGAGCAAAAAACCAGCTAATTGCATACACATGGACACAAAGATGGGAAAAATAGACACTGGGGCCTATTTGAGGGTGGAGGGTGGGAGGACAGTGATGATTGAAAAAGCACCTATCGGGTATTATGCTGATGATTTTTCCTCTGCTGTCTTTCCGTTATTGATTTCTAATTTGATTCCATTGTAGTCAGAGAAAAGTTTGTATAATTTAAATTCTTTTAAAATTATCTGTACACCAAACCCTTGTGACACGCAATTTACCCATGTAACAAACCTGCATATGTACCCCTTGCACCTAGTAAAACCGGAAAAGAAAAACAACAAAAAAGAGCCAATGTGTATTCTGCTATTGATGGGTGGAGTGTCCTGTAAATGTGGATTTGATCCTGTTGGTTGATGGTGTTATTGAGCTCTTCTACATCTTTGCTGATTTTCTTTCTAGTTTTTATTTTTTTATTTTTATTTTTTTTGAGACAGAGTCTTGCTCTGTCCCCCAGGCTGCTGGAGTGCAGTGGCAGGATCTCAGCTCACTGAAAGCTCCGTCCCCAGGTTCACGCCATTCTCCTGCCTCAGCCTCCCGAGTATCTGGGACTACAGGCGCCCGCCACCACGCCCAGCTAATTTTTTGTATTTTTAGTAGAGTCGGGGTTTCACCGTGTTAGCCAGGATGGTCTCGATCTCCTGACCTCGTGATCCACCCCCCTCGGCCTCCCAAAGTGCTGGGATTACAGGCCTGAGCCACCACTCCCTGCCTTCTTTCTAGTTTTATTAATAGTTGTGAGAGTTGTGTTGATGTCTCCAATTATAATTGTGGATTTTCTATTTTTTCTTTCAGTTCCGTCAGTTTTTGCTTCACATATTTTACAGCTCTGGTGTTTTGGGCATAAACATTTCTGACTGCAATGTCTTCTTGATAGACTGACCCTTCTATTATTATAAAACGTCCTTATCTTTCTCTGGTAATTTTTTTTGTTTTGGCTCTGAAGTTTACCTTATCTGAGAGTAGTACACTCACTCCTGTATTCCTCTAATTAAGGAAAACATGTTGTGTCTTTTTCCATCCTTTTACTTTTAACCTGCCTATGTTGTTATATTTGTGTGGTTTTATTGTTGTTTTTGTTTGTTTTGTGTTTTTTTTGAGACAAAGTCTCATCTTGTCACCTAGGCTGGAGTGCAGCGGCACAATCTCTGCTCACGGCAACCTCTGTCTTCCAGGGTCAAGCGATTCTCCTGCCTCAGCCTCCTGAGTAGCTGGGACCACAGGTGCACACCACCATGCCTGGCTAATTTTTGTATTTTAGTAGAGACGGGGTTTCACCATGTAGGCCAGGCTGGTCTCGAACTCCTGACCTACCTCAAATTATCCACCTGGCTTAGCCTCCCAAAGTGCTGAGAGCCACTGAGCCTGGCCTATATTGTTATATTTGAACTGGGTTTTTTTTTGTTTTTGTTTTTGTTTTTTGTTTGTTTGTTTTTTTTTGTAGAGTGCTGGGTTTACAGGTGTAAGCCACCATGCCTGGCCTGAACTGGGTTTCTTAATTGAGGTATTTAGATCATTTGCATTTAGTGTAATTTTTTTTCTTAATTTTTATGTTTAATTATTATGGGTACACAACCGTTGTATATATTAGTGAGGTACATGTGATGTTAGTTACAGGCATACAATGTGCAATGACCAAATCAGAGTAATTGGGGCATCTACCACCTCAAGAATTTATCATTTCTTTGTATTAGGAATAATGTAATTATTGATATATGTATTAGCTTGGGGTGCCATAACAAAATAAAACTAGGTGGCTTAAACAACAGAAATATATTCTCTCACAGTTCTGGAGGTTGGAAGTCTGAGATCAAGGCGCCAGCATGGTCAGCTTCTGGTAAGGGCTCTTCCTGGCTTATAGAGAGAGTTGCCATCTTCTGGGGGCAGAGTGAGAGAGAAAGAGAGAGGAAGGCTGGGAGGGAGAAAGAGCAAGAGAGCATACCCTGGTTTCTCTTCCTATTGAATTAATCCTATTGAATCATGGCCCTACCCTTATGAATTCATTTAACCTGAATTACTTCTGTAAAAGGCCCTATCTCCAAATATAGTCCCATTGGTGGTTAGGGCTTCAACATGGGATTCTGTGGGACACAATCCAACCTGTAGTAACATGAAGGGCTTAATTGTTTTTCATTTATTTTGTTTGTTCTCTCCAGTTTTCATCTCTGTTTACTCTTTTCTGACTTTCTGTGGCTTACTTGGGCATTTTTTAGAACGCCAGTTTTATTTATCTACAGTGTTTTTGAGTGTATTGATGCATAACTTTTAAGTGGTTGCTTTAAGTATTACATATACATGTAACTTGTCACAGTCTGCTGGAGTCATCATTTACCATTTTGAGTAAATAATAAAAATCTTACCTTCCTAATTTATGTCCCATCCCTTTATCCTCCTCACTGAAAATACGATTGTCTTAAATGTTTCCTCTACATACATTTAGAACCACATCAGTGTTATAATTTTGGCTTCAACCATCAAACATACTTTAGAAAACTTAAGAGGAGAAGAAAAATTTATTGTATTTACCCATCTATTTGCTTACCTTGTTCTATCTTCTTCCTTGATGTTCCAAGGTTCCTATTTTATCATTTCCATTCTGTTTAGATAACTTCTTTTAGCCATTTTCATTATTTCTGGGCAGGTGTTCTCCCCCCGCCCCCATCTCCATTGACATCTTAGAGAGGGGGCCCCATTACTGGCTTGCAGAAATGAAATTCTTAGCTTCCTAATTGGTCTTCTTGGATACCACTGCAGAGTGATGTTGGAGCACCTTGTTACAGCTTCAAGAGGGTGAAAGTTTAGGTCTCCCACTTGGTCTTTCTGGTGTGAATGGCAGTAGAGTCACAGTTATTGCTATGGTATTTGCCTAGAACTGAACAGTTACTTTCTAAGGCTTGACAGGCTTGCCTGCCTCTGTCTTGGTCTTTTGGCTAGTGATATCAGGGCTTTTGTTGTAAGTGTTGTTGGGGCTTTTTCTGTTTGTTTGTTTGTTTGTGCCAGTTGGTCTTTCCAAATTGTCACTTTCTTCAGCTCCAAGCCCAGCATATATGTGGCAAAAAGAAAGCCCAGGGAACTCACTAGTATGTCATTCCTCAGATCCTGAGATTCTAGCTGTTCTGCCTTCTCATTTCCACCTTTTAGAGTCTTCTTATGTTTGTTTTATATATATATAATGTCCAGAGTTTTTAGTTGTACTTAGTGAGATGAATAGGAAAAAGTATGTCTACTCAATTTTTCCAGAAGTCTTTGCTGTCAACCTTTACTAAATTAGTAGGTTTCCTTTTATTCCTGGTTTTCTAAAAGTTTATTTTTTAAACATAAATGGTTTTTTACATTTAAAAAATAGTTTATCAGAATTGACTCATTTCATTGTATTTTCCTTCTTAATCTCCTAATATAGTGAATTATATTGAGAGATTTTTAAAATGTGAAACATCTTTGCATTCCTGGGATAAACCCTATTTGTTCATCCTATAGTTACACATTTACTGTTGGTGTTATTTAGTTAATATTTTACTTGGGTTGTTGTATTTACTTTTATAAAGCATGGACGTAAAACTTGCCTTTCTTGTATTTCCTTGTTTGTTTTTGTAATAAAAATTTCTCTAAACAATAACCTAGGCAGATTTTGTTCTTCATTCTGTTTCCTGGAATAATAAATAGAAATGTCTTTTCAAAGGGCAGCTTTTGTTTTTGTTCATCTATTTTATTGTTTTTAGTTCTCTATTTCATTTATGACTATCTTTACTATTTCCTTCCTCCTTTGGGTGTATTCTCTTCCTCTTTACCTAGCGTTTGAGTTGAACACTCAGCTTATTGATTTTGGTCTTTTTTTGTGTTTCCTAGTAAGTGTATTTAAAGGTAAAAAATTTCCTTCTAAGTTCTGCTTTAATCATATCTAACACATTTTGATATGCAGTGTTTTAATTTTTATTTAATTCTACATATTCTTTATATTTTTCTTTTAACTCACAGGTTACTTGTGACATTTAAAAACTTTTTATTTTGAAGTAATTTTAGAAGAGTAGTACAAAGAATTCTTACGTACACTTGTCCAAATTCAATGATTTGCAACATTTTGTCATATTTGCTTTCTTTTTCTCTCTGTCTCTGCTTCCCTCTCTGTTTTTTTCCTAAAAAACATTAATATTCCTAAGTCCATTTTAGGGACTTACTCTAAAATGGTTATGAAAAAACATTAGAGAGAAAAAATGGTTTACTCTAAAATGGTTAGGAAGTCTGGAGTTACATACACACATGCCCCTTTCCTGCTAAATATTTCAATGTATTTCCTAAGAACAAGGCTGTTCTCTTACATAAACACAGAAAAACAGTCATATTAAGAAAATTTAACTTGGATATAATATTAGCTAATCCACAGTACATATTCAAATTTTACCAGTTTTCCCAATAAAGAACCTTATAACTCCAGCCACTCCCAGTCTCTTGTCCTGCAATCCAGAATCAAGCATTTCAGTAAGTTTTCATGTCTCTTTGGTCATTTTTAATGTGAGAGAGTCTATCAGTTTCTTATTTATTCAGGTTTTATTAATTAGCTTGAACTTATATAATTTTATTATTTTGCCCTTCAAGAACTCTGCTTTTTTTTTTTTTTTCTTTTTGGTCTAGTTTATCTACCAGTTTTTGAGAGAGGGTTTGTAAAAATCATCAAATGTATTTTTAAAAAACTCAACTTCTAACTGTAGTTCTTTCACTTGTTGCTTTATAAATTGTGAGGCTGTATTGTTGAGTTTATATATATTTATGATTACTATATCTTCTTGTTTCTTTAAAAGTTATATGAACATCTTTTCTTTTGTCCTTTATGCACTTTATTTTTTTTATTTTTATTTTTTTTTGAGATGGAGTTTCGTTCTTATTGCCCAGGCTGGAGTGCAGTGGCACAGTCTTGGCTCACTGCAACCTCCATCTCCCAGGTTCAAGCGATTCTTCTGCCTCAGCCTCCCGAGTAGCTGGGATTACAGGTGCGTGCCACCATGACCGGCTAATCTTTTTGTATTTTTAGTAGAGATGGCGTTTCACCATGTTAGCCAGGCTGATCTCGAACTCCTGACCTCAGGTAATCCGTCCTCCTCAGCCTCCCGAAATGCTGGGATTACAGGCATGAACCACTGCACCTGGCCCAAAATAGAATTTAAGGTTAAAAATAAAGTGCAGGCTGGACGTCGTGGCTCACGCTTGTAATCTTAGCACTTTGGGAGGCTGAGGCAGGTGGATCACCTGAGGTCAGGAGTTCAAGACCAGCCTAACCAACATGATGAAACCCCAACTCTACTAAAAATACAAAAGTAGCCGAGCATGGTGGCACATGCCTGTAATCCCAGCTACTCGGGAGGCTGAGTAGGGAGAATCGGTTGAATCCAGGAGGCAGAGGCTGCAGTGTACCGGGATCGCACCATTGCACTCCAGCCTGGGCAACAAGAGTGAAACTCTGTCTCAAAAATAAATAAATAAATAAATAAATAAATAAATAAATAAATAAAGTGCATAGGCCGGGCACGGTAGCTCATGCCTGTAATCCTAGCACTTTGGGAGGCTGAGGCGGGTATATCACCTGAGGTCAGAAGTTCAAGACCAGCCTGGCTAGCATGGTGAAACCCTGTTTCTACTAAAAATACAAAAAATTAGCTGGGCATGGTGGCACACCTGTAATCCCAGCTACTCGGGAGGCTGAGACAGGCGAATCACTTGAACCCAGGAGGCAGAGGTTGCAGTGAGCCGAGATTGTGCCATTGCACTCCAGCCTGGGAGACAGAGGAAGACTCTGTCCCCCTCCCAAAAAAAAATCAATTCTATTTTGTTACATATTGAGACTGTTGCCCAACTTTCTTTTGTGTCATATTTGCCACCAGGTAAATCTTTTTTCCCTGTTTTTAAATTTCAATCTTTACATATCTTTCTGCTTTAAGAGGATTTGCCATATGCATTCATATTAAAAACTTTCAATAAACTAGGTATTGAAGGAATATACCTCAAAAATAATAAGAGCCATATATGACAAACCCACAGCCAACATCTTGCTGAATGAGCAAAAGGTGGAAGCATTCCCCTTAAAAACCAGCACAAGACAAGGATGCCCTCTCTCACCACTCCTACTCAACATAGCGTTGGAAGTCCTGGCTGGGGCAATTGGGCAAAAGAAACAAATAAAGACGTCCAAATAGGAAGAGAGAAAGATAAACTATCCCTGTTTGTAGATGACATGATCCTATATCTAGAAAACCCCATTGTCTCAGCCCAAAAGCTTCTTAAGCTGATAAACAACTTCAGCAAAATATCAGAATACAAAATGAATGTGCAAAAATTACTAGTATTCCTATACACCAAACAACAGTCAAGCTGAGAGCCAAATCAGGAATGAACTCCCGTTCACAATTGTCACAAAAAAAATAAAATACCTAGGAATATAGCTAACTGGGGAGGTGAAAGATATCTACAAGGAGAACTACAAACCACCGTTCAAAGAAATCAGAGATGACACAAACAAATGGAAAAACATCTCATGCTCATGGATAAGAGGAATCAATATCATTAAAATGGCCATACTGCCCAAAACAATTTATAGATTCAATACTCTTCTTATTAAACTACCATTGAGATACTTCACAGAGCTAGAAAAACTATTATTATTATTATTATTTTTTTGAGACGGAGTTTTTGCTCTTGTTGCCCAGGCTAGTGTGCAATGGTGCGATCTCGGCTTACCACAACCTCTGTCTCCCAGGTTCAAGCGATTCTCCTGCCTCAGTCTCCCGAGTAGCTGGGATATTACAGGCATGCGCCACCATGCCCAGCTAATTTTGTATTTTTAGTAGAGACATGGTTTCGCCATGTTGGCCAGGCTGGTCTCAAACTCCTGGCCTCAAGTGATTCCCCCTGCCTCGGCCTCCCAAAGTGGTGGGATTACAGGCCTGAGGCACCGTGCCCGGCCAGAGCTAGAAAAACTATTTAAAAATGCATGTGAAACAAAAAAGGGCCAGAATAGCCAAGGCAATCTGAAGCAAAAAGAACAACGTTAGCAGTATCACACTACCCAACTTCAAACTATACAGGGCTATAGTAACCAAAACAACATGGCACTGGTACAAGAACAGACACATAGACCAATGGAACAGAATAAAGAACACAGAAATAAAACTACACCTATGACTGTCTGATCTTCAACAAATCTGACAAAAACAAGCAATGGGGAAAGTATTTTCTATTCAATAAATGGTGCTGGGAAAACTGGGTAGCCATATGCAGAAGATTGAAACTGCATCCCTTCCTTACACCATCCACCTTAACTCAAGATGGATTAAAGACTTAAATATAAAACTCAAAATTATAAAAATCCTGGAAGACAACCTAGGCAATACCATTCAGGATATACTGGCAAAGATTTCATGACAAAGATGCCAAAAACAATTGCAACAAAAGCAAAACTGACCAACAGGATCTAGTTAAACTAAAGAGCTTCTGCACTAAAAAGGAAACTATCAACAGAGTGGACAGACAACCTACAGAATGGGAGAAAATTTTGCAAACTATGCATCCAACAAAGGTATAATATCCAGCATCTATAAGGACCTTAAATAAATTTACAAGAAAAAAAAACCATTAAAAAGTGGGCAAAGGACATGAACACTTTTCAGAAGAAGACATACATGCAGCCAACACGTATATGAAAAAAAGCTCAACATCACTGATCATTAGAGAAATGAAAGTCAAAACCACAATGAGATACCATCTCACATCAGTCAGAATGGCTACTATTACAAAGTCAAAAAATAACAGATGCTGGCTAGGTTATGGAGAAAAATGAACGTTTTTACACCGTTGGTGGGAGTGTAAATTAGTTCAACCATTGTGGAAGACAGTGTGGCAATTCCTCAAAGACCCAAAGACAGAAATACCATTTGACCCAGCAATCCCATTACTGGGAACATACACAAAGGAATATAAATCATTCTATTATAAAGACACATGAACACATATGTTCACTGTAGCACTATTCACAATATCAAAGACTTGGAATCAACCTAAATGCCCACTAATGATAGACTGGATAAAGAAAACGTGATACACATACACCATGGAATACTATGCAGATATAAATAAGAATGAGATCATGTCCTCTGCAGGGACATGGATGGAGCTGGAGGCCATTATCCTTGGCAAAATAATGTAGGAAGAGAAAATCAAATGCCAGATGTTTTGACTTATAAGTGGGAGGTAAATTGTGAAAACACATGGACACACAGAGGGGAACTGCACACATGGGCCTATTGGAGGGTGGAGGTGGGAGGAGGGAGAGGATCAGGAAAAATAACTAATGTATACTAGGCTTAATACCTGGGTAATGAAATAATCTGTACAACAAACCTCCCTGACACAAGTTTACCTATGAAACAAACCTGCACATTTACCCCTGAACTTAAAAGTTAAAAAAGAGTATTTGTTATAAATCACACATGATTTGGTTCCCTTTTTCCTCCATTATTAGAGCCTTTGTTCTTTTATTGGTAACTGCTGAAGTAAAGATTTACTTTTGCAACTCATTTCACATTCTGTTTTTATTGTACAATGTTTCTTCCCTTTTCTTGCTTTCCATTTGATAGACTGATTTTTTTCTGCTGTATTAAAAGTTATACATACTGATTCTGTTCTTATGGTGGTTGCCTTTAATTTAACACAGTGAGCATTTACCTTTTAAAATGTCTTAACTACCTTAATATTTATATCTTGCCTCCTAAGTTCTTTAGCATACTCTTATGTTCTTTTGATTTTCTACTTCCCTCCCTCTAATGCCAATTCTCCTACCAAGTAGATATTACACACACACACATTCATTTACCCTCTTTTAAAAATATGGTCCTGGATTTGTTGACAAATCACCCTTATATTTGTTGTAAATTTCTTGATTTGATTCTCTTTTTGTGTACTTCCTCTAAGAGTGTTTTTTTTTTTTTTTTTTTACCACGTCCAAGAGTGTTTTAAATATGAGCCTTTGGATTCTTTGCATGATAATAAATTTGTTATGCCATCTCACTTGAATAGCAATTTTGATACATATAAAGTTCTAAACTCCAGTTTATTTTCCTTCACTACTATAAAAATATTATTTTATTTTATTCTTGCATTCATTGCTGTTGAAAAGTCTGACATCAATCTGATCTTACTCCTTTGTAAACTGTTCTTTTTTTTTTTTTTTTTTCTGATAGGGTATCACTCTGTCACCCACTGGAACCTCCACCTCCCGGGTTTGCCTCAGCCTCCCGAGTAGCTGGGACTACAGGCACACGCCACCAGGCGGGGCTAATTTTTGTATTTTTAGTAGACACAGGGTTTCACCATATTGGCCAGGCTGGTCTCGAACTCCTGTCCGCAAGTGATCCACCCGCCTCTACCTCCCAAAGTCCCAAAGTGCTGGGATTATAGGCGTGAGCCACTGTGCCCAGTTGATAAACTCTTCTTTCTAAGTTTTAAAAATATTTATTTGTCTCAATATAACGAGCATAGGTGTGGATTTTTCTGAAGCTCCTGTTAAGTATCCTTTGAACCCTTTTCTCTGAGGTCTTTCATAATTAAAAAAAAATTGTAAATTTATTAGTCATTATTTTCTCACGTATATATTTTTTTCCTCTCACTGTGAGTTCTCTTATGATTCAGATGTTGATACTTCTATTTCTAGCATACATTTTGCTGAACTTTCTTTTATATTTTTGATGTCTTTATTCTTTCCTACTGTCTTCTGGGATTATCTTTCATCTTATCTTTTACCTCACAAATTATTCTTCAGCTATATTTATCCTGGTACTTGTCTAATCTATAGTATTTACAACTTCTACTGTTATAGTTTTAACATCTAATATTCTGTCTTTGTTTTTGTGAGTTACTGGTTTTGCTTTATGTTGCTGGTATCTTCTATTATCTTAAGTATATTTGCCATTTTGTTTCAAGTTCTTGGTTCATCTTCTTCACAATTCTGCATTAGATAGTATATGGTGTTAATTTGTTGTCTATGTTTTGCAATTTTTTTGTTCCTTAGCCATATCATTATGTTGATCTGTGAGCTCACGTCTCCAGGAGGGCACCAGCTAGTCTGTGGGGTAATGTGTAATGGGGAAGAGATAAAGTCAAATACTGGTCTGTGTCCCTCCAGATCCAGCCCTGGTAGAGAGCCCAGAAACACTGTGGATCTCCCCATTTGCCACTACTCTTTCAGGCAACTCCTAGGAAAAGCACAGTTGGGAGTAGGCAGGTGCTCCACGTTGGGATTCACCAGCGCTGGGAGTTGGGGCAGTGGTCGTGAGTAGTGGAGAAGAGAATACCCAAAAGCTCACCCCTAGTTTCATCTGTTCCCTACTGATTTACCTTGAAGATACAAGTAGCCTGGCCTGTTGCAGCCTGTTTATGTATGAAGGGGAGGCAACAATTGTCCCAAGCCGATTGGGAAGGACATAGTGCAGAAATTAAAAAGTCTTCCTGCAGCCTGTTCTCCCACTGTGGCTTATCTCCCAGGATGCAGCCCTGCCCATTCTCTACGCACACCAGCTCAAGACAGCAGTTCTGTCTCTCCTGGCAAATATAAAAACACTTTATACTTATTTCTGGTGTTGCCAGCTCCCCAGATCCTTGCTTCCTTTTGCTTCTCTACCTTTACAAAAATTAATTTTGGGTGAGGGAGCTGGAAGCCTGAACCTACCTATTTGCCATTTCACAGGAACTGGAAGCTTTATTTCTGGTCCTCAAAGGGCAAAGTGACAAGCGACATTCAATAGCTCATGGCCTGAGGCTTCCTGATGCCCAGGGTCTTACACTCGTAGCCAGGACTGATGTGTTGTCATAGCCATTCCAAGGGTCTCTTTTCAAGGTGTCCAATGGGGTGGCAAGCAGGGATTCTGATTCATCTATGCTCCAGGGACAGGAGAGAAAGGAACTTGGAGATTCATGAGGTAGGCATGAAGCTTGGATAGTGGGAGGGGAGGAAGATAGATGTGTGTTGAGCATTTATTGTGCACTCTATTGAGCCCTTGCTGGGTACACCTTGAGGGCTAATTTACTTCACAGAATCCAGGAGGAATGCCTTCAGGGGTACTTTCAGGAAAGTATCCATAGATTTTTAGGAGGCTGTGTGGTGAAGCTATGTTCATACTACTAGATAATATTTACCTTATAGGCTTCATGATGTATAAATCTGCCTTTCCTCTAATTTATAATAGAAGCATCCATATGATTTATGAATTCTTTCAGATTAGCTCTTTTAGGCCATCCTAGCTAAATACTGAGGGTGTTTAGTATCCTCAGGGTGCTTTGCTGCAGCTGTCCCCAGCTGGTCTCGTTTTTTCCTGTTTTCTAATTGGTCTCTACCCCCATTCCTCCCTCAGTCTGTCTTGACAGATGGCAGATGCATCTTCCTATGTGGCAGTGCTTGGCACTAGGTTTGCAGCAAATGCTTGTTGGATTGATTTTCTTTAGATTTGAAGGTTAAAAAGAGAGTTTTTCTCTTTATAGGCACCCATCCCAATTTCTTCTCCTTGCAATGCTCAGTAGTTGCTACCAGGAAGGGCTGTCACCAGGTTGTGTCCTAACTGGAATGAGCTCTTGAGTGGGAGTAAGCAATGTTTGTTGGTAGGTCAAAGGGTTAACAACAGTTTTAAGCTCTTTTTTCCCATGGGAAGATGAACTCCAGTTTACCTTATACTTACTGTTTCTTTGAAATGTACTGTTTGGATAAATGTGAAATGTCAGCTGTATTTTAAAAAATCACATTTATTTATTTATTTATTTATTTATAAGTGTGGAAATGACCCCTGGTTGGTGAACTACATCTATGCTGGGCAGACTGCGGGCAGGCATTTAGACTTGGTGGACCTATATGACCAGACCCGTATGAAAACCTGTTGGGAAATGTAGGCCCTGGACTCTGTTATGGTGTGTTTCTTGAATCCGAATATGCCTGTTTTCTTGGAATCCTCACTCATGGGTTGGTATAAGATGTGGTTCCTGTCATGTGAGAGATTCTTCCATCCTAGAATGGCTCCCCCGTGCCTCTCCCCTACTCCTGTGGTCTTGTCTACTATGACCATGCATATTCCCATGAGATGAGAGGGTTAAGAATCAGCATCTAGAATACATAAAGACTCCTGATGAAGATGTCTAATGCTGTCAGGCTGACAAGCTATGTTTCCATATCCAATATTCCTCTACAAAGCTAAATAAATAAGTTGCCGTATAACAGCCCACCAAGTCTTTTGAGTGTGTATGTTAATCTGAACCCAAGGCACAACTAATTTGTATGAAGTAAGCATTGTAGGATTTTTTTTCCTACAAAAATAACTTTCTCTTCATTGCTGAAATTCTGTTGTAAATAAACAAGTGGTAAGCAGAGGATCATAAAATGTTCCTTGCTCAAAGCCTTAAAATTCCCAAAACTCCAGCATTCAAATTTCTCTGGACAGAATTGGAACCAAAATGAAGTCACAGTTAATAATAAAACATTACATTTGTGTAATGCTTTGAATATTCTAAAGATTTTATTCTACTTTTCCTGTCTTCTCTTCTCTGACTGACTCAATATGGCTTCTCTTGTACCTGCAAAAAGATGACTTCAAAATCCATTTCTCCAATTTTGAACCCACTACAGTACTTGATATCCATGTATGCCACTATTTAGAAGCAAAGGAAATAAAATCATTGAAATGACACTTTGAAATAGACTTGGTAGGACCTGAAAACTCACTGAATCCAATCTTCTCACTCAGACAGTTGAGTGGACAGTGGTTTAATCCACTGAAAGAGGAAATACAAGGGAAGGACATGTTTGAGAGGTGTTTAGAGAATGATTGATAAAAGGTCTTAGAAGAGGTGAGTGTCCACTATTTTTGCACTGGAGTATCTACCCCTGCTCCAAGGTCCCTCATGTTCACATCTGTTGGGGATGATGGGAGGGCCAGAAGACAGCCCACCTCATGGAAATAAGAGTAGCCAGGCTACATGGAGTAGGTCGGGAAGCAAGGAGGCTCAGGACCAAGGAAAGGTTTATCGAATAAATATTATGAAATGCTCAGCTGGTATATGAAGAGCAGTGAGGGTTGGGGGTATCAGGATCACAATCCATATTCAGTTCCAAGATGTCTGGACCATTTCACAGTTGGGATATGGTCTTCCTCTAAGGAAGAACATGGGCTGTTTTTTTCATACTTCTGATCACAGTTGGCAAGAAGGAATGGTTGGAGTAATAGACTAGTAGTTGGGTTCTTAGATTTGTTTCTTTAATCAAATTCTCATGGCTAATGGCAAGATAGAATATGCTTATACAGGACATTTATCTGAAAGTTGTGTTACAGACAACATCCATTAGAATCATCCAGGGTACTTCATGAAAATGCAGATTTCTGAATAACCTCTAGAACTGCTGAATTAGGATCCCTGGGCTGGAGCCTGAGAATTTGCATTTAAGCCTACTTCTTAGCAATTCTTATGTACACTAAAATTTAAGAAGCATATGTAAGCTGGTTAATTATGAATTATTCTTATCAATGAAAAATTATACCAAATGAGAATTAAATGGGACAACTGGATATTTCATTGCTTTGAAGAAGCTGGTGACAACTTCATCTAAGACTTCCCAGTTGCTCTTTCAGTATTACTTCTAAATTTACTATTGCAGTTTATTTTTCATTAAATCTTCCTTCTACTGGTACAAAGAAAAATATCTTTGTCTTCCCTTTTAATTTTATTTATTTATTTTGTTTGAGACAGAGCCTCACTCTGTTTCCCAGGCTGGAGTGCAGTGGTGTGATCTCGGCTCACTGCAACCTCCACCTCCTGGGTTCAAGCGATTCTCCTGCCTCAGCCTCTCGAGTAGCTGGGACTACAGGCGCCTGCCACTATGCCTGGCTAATTTTTGTATTTTTAGTAGAGACGGGGTTTCACCATATTGGCCAGGCTGGTCCCAAACTCCTGACCTTGTGATCTGCCAGCCTCGGTCTCCCAAAGTGCTGGGATTACAGGCGTGAGCCACTGCGCCCGGCCAATTTTATTTTTTAATTAAACATTTCTGAGACATTTTGGCTTTAATGAAAATGTTTCCAAAGCATGTTCAAAGCGTAGTCCTTAGTTTGATGGTCTGAAGAATGGAATCATTTATTAGTGGAGTTCAATAAATATTTATTCGCATTTATACATACAAGGTCCTTTGGACAGAGTAAGAGACACAAGACACCACCACTCCCTGAAAGAGCACACAAAACAATTACATAGATAAGACCAACACACACATTTGAACTGTGGTATTGAAACTTAAAAAAAAAAAAAGCCTAAAGCCCTCTCAGTAAAAAAGAGTTGAGTACTTATCGACACTTACATGTTTATTTATACATTATCCCATGTACTAGCATATGGCTTGACTATATACACCAGAACTCACACTGTAACAAATAGAAAGTTTATAAGTTACCAAAATAAATAGAAACTTTAACACTTCCTTCCTGTATCCTCAAGGATCATTTGCACATTCCCTGTAGTGTGCACATTCCATTTTGTAAACCAGTGTTTTTAGAAAACAATGCCTACCTATATATAACCAAGCACTAAGTTCTGTGTTACAGATTAAAAAAACCATTTTAGAGTAAAGAGAAATAAGAGCAAACCCAGACTACTAGAACTGGTAAATGAAAGGAATAGCATTCAGAAAACAATGTATATTCAATAAATAGATAAAATAATAGGAAACATTTGCTTTGGGTTCATGTCAAAGCCTATTAAGAAGGAGACATAGACATAGGACAAAATGCATATGTAGAGGAAAAAGAAACAAAATATAGAAATGTAAACATTACTTCCTTCTGGCAAAATGTCTTCTAGCCTTTGGTGAGGTATTTCCAGACATTTATAGGCTACACTCTGCCAATGATTTTATTTAAGGATGACACAGTGAATGCTTATTTTTATGTCTACAAAAAAAGTTACAAAATTTAGTTATTCACACATTCATTCATCAGTGCCTCTTGATATTGGAAATGTTTCTCCCTATTGCTTTATGGATTGACTGTATTCCTGAAAAGCTTGAATTACATTTTAAAAACTCAGCCATAAGCTTTGTGGGAGACAGACTGTACCTGTCAAGTTCCCTCTTGTATCTCTGGCACCTCGCATAGCATCAGGCTTATAGTGAATATTCAAGAATGTCCTCTCGATGGTTGCAATATATTTGAAAATCTCAGCATTGAAAGGAATTCTGTGACAAACCACTTAAAAAAGTTAAAATGAATGAACATTCAGTAAATTCTGATTTTGATGAAACACAGTTGTTCATAAGTGGACAAAACTATCCTTTAAGTAAACCCATGGGGACATTTGAGTTGAATAATTTATAGAGACTTATAATCTGAAAGAGAGCGCAGACATAGTCTCATATTCTTTTACCACACAGATAAGGAAAAGCTGGAGCTCACAGAAACTTGAAAGAGCTTGCCCAAGGCCACATCACTATTTAGGAGCAGTTATTTTAATATGTAACAAATTACGTGTGATTAATCTTTTTCAGAAGGGGTTACTGCAGGTTTTCTTAAAGTAACAGTATTAGATAATATTTTATAAAACTTAAAAACTCTATAACATAATGCTTCATAATGTTTAAGAATTCATAAACATTTAGTAAAAATATTAAAAACATGCATAGCAATGATAAAACTGACTTCACATTGGTGGTTATATCTGGGGGCAGTGAAAAGAAAATGGAAGGATTCAGAGGTATCAATTTTATTGTAGTCACTGATTTATTAAAAAAACCATTGAAACAAATAGGACAAAATACTAAGATTTAATAAAGCTGGGTGTTTGGGTAATGGGGGTTTATTTGCCTTTCTGTGTGTTTAAAATACTTAACAATACAAATATTAAAACTAAAATTAGTAAGAGATTTGTAAACTAATAGGTTTTTTAAAATACCAAGCAGAGGAACAAAGTCAACTGTTATTTATCCAAAGAACCATTAACAGAAATAGGCTATATATATATATATATATATATATATATATATGCTAAAGGGTTTAGTCAACAAAGTAGATATTCTATAATTAGCAGCATGAAGGAGTTAGAGTACATCTTATGTTGTTATAATTAATAGTAAATATTTGTAACATACAGAAAATACATGGAACAACAGTCATGCAACCACTACTCAAATACAGTTGTGCTGTTTGCACCTGACTTCAGGTCCACCTTTCTTTTCCCTCACCAGATGCAATTACTAGTTTAAAGTTAGTGCATATCATTTGTTATTATGTTGTGAGAATTGTCCTTGTGAAATATGGACATTTAGTTTATTTTAATGGTTGCACAATTTATTGTAGAAAGGCAACACAATTTTATTTACTTTTTTATGCACTGATGGGCATCCCCTGACTTTCCACCAATTATAAGCAAACCTGCAATGAACATCCTTATGCATACTTCTTTGTTTTTGTATTTGAGAATGTCTTCAGGTCTCTAGGGCATATAAACATAGAATTGCTTGTCTGTAGGATTCTTGTCTCTTTAAATTTGTACAACACTGCATATGTGAAATAAGTAGTTGAAATAAGTGGGAAAACTAACCCTTCCACCAAGATTCTATGCAAATTCCCATTTCTTCACATTTCTGCTTCAGCACGTGGTATTGTTAGGCTATCTACCTTGAGATAATAAAGTTATTCTACATTTCCCCCCCAAAGCTTTAAACCTTTACCTTTTCACATTTAGCCTTTTATTTCATTTAAAATTTATTTTTGTAATGGTGTGAGGTAGAGATCTGGTTTCATTTATTCCCCATGGTGATAGCCTATGTTCCTGCAATATTAACTGACTTATCCAACAGTTCTCAAAATGTGATCAGAGGATTCCTGGGGATGTTGGGAGGGAGAGATCCCTTGGATCCTTTTAGAGGGTCAACAAGGTCAAAAATATTCATAAAATTAAGATGTTATTTGCCTTTTTTTTACTCTCACTCTCATAAGTGTACAGAAGGGTTCGCCAAAGACAACAATGGCATGTGATGAATAGTGATGACTATTTCTCTGATACCTAACAGATTGTGTGCCTGTGTATTGTATTTTCTAGAGTTTTCAAAGGTAGTGAGTTTACGGTATAAGTATGTAGTTTTCAGAAATTATTTCTTTTCTACCATGCTCTTACCAGCTATCTTCAGTTATACCTGTTATAATCTCTGTAATCTCATTATCTTCCAAGAAATCATTTTTAAATCCTAAAGTTTTTCCTTTTACACAGAAACATAACAAAAATTATGTTTACTTTGTTGTTTTGCAATAATATATTTTTCAAAAATGTTTTTAATTAAAAAATTTTATCTGAATAGGGTGGATGGTTGGCTTTAAAAAGGGAGAAGAGAAAACACATTTTCTGGTGTCTAGATTGCCTATGTCTAGAGATGCTGAAAAGGATGACATTGACATATCAGCAAGTTATCTGATTCCTCATAAAAAGGAGAAATCTATTCCAAAGAAACTGAGCACAACTATACACAACAAAAATATGTTGAAAGTGATCTTTTGTTCAGCTTTATAGATGTTAATAATTTATCATATTGTGTCTTGTGCAGTAAAACATTTTCAAACACTTATATGGTTCCAACAAAGTTGCAGTATCATTTTGGGACCAATCATTCAGAATTTATTAAAAAAAGGAATTAAATAACCGAAATGTAGATGTAATACACTCTTTAAAAGCTTCTTACAGGATAAGCCATCATATTGTATTGGCTAGAGGAGCACACACAATCACAGAGAGACTAATAAAGGCTTGAACAGTTGACATTGCTGAATACCTGCTGGATGAAAAATCACCACAAGAATGCATAGTGCTGGCATTTTCCAATGATGCAATAACTTGTCAAATTAAAGATTTAACTGCAAACATAAAGACTGAGTTAATATATCATCTAAAGAATTGTACCTTAGCCTTACAAAGGGACTGATCTACAGATGGCTATACATCCTGTTTTGCTTTCATTCATCAGGTATCAGCATCAATTGACCATTGATGATCTTCTTTTATGTGAATTCTGGGCAACAGGGGTTCTGAAACATTAAAAGTGTTATATGACTTTTTTGAATCTGGTGGTTTATCCTCAACAACTGTGTTAACTGTGTTAACATTTGCACTGATGGTGCAAAAATGGTGGATTTTATCCAATGGTGGGTAAAATGACTGGTGTCTTAGCACGAATTAAGGCAATGGCACCAAATTTTATTAGTAGTCATTGTATTCTTCACCACCACACATTCGTAGTAAAAAAAAAACAGTTTTACTAAAATAATGTCCTTGATGAAGTTGTAAAAATTATTTTCTACTAAATCTCAACCCTTAAGCACATTTAAAAAAATTCTTTGTGACACAATGTGATGTACCCATAAAACACTTCTACTGCATGCTGAAATATAGTTGTCTTTTGGAAAAACACTTGTTTGAGTTGCAAGCTGAATTAGCCACTTTTTCTTTTCTTTCATGGAAACACCATCTTTTCACTTGGAAAAAAAAAGTGACAGAAAATTGATTATTCAGACTTGGGAATTTGGCAGACATTTTCTTGAAAATAAACAGTGATACTATCACTTTAGGGAAAACAACTAGTTGTATTTGTTGCCAGTGCTAAAATTTAAGCTTTTAAAAGTAGAAGTTGGAATTTTGAAAAGCTTGTATCTGCTACTGTGGGATACTTAGAATTTTTTCTGATATCAGCAGCAACATTAATGAATATAATATTTTTTTGAGACAGGGTCTTGCTCTGTTGTTAAGGCTGGATTGCAGTGGCATGAACAGGGCTCACTGAATGCAGCTCTCAACCTTATGGGCTCAAGTGATCCTCCTGCCTCAGCTTTCCAAGTAGCTGAGACCACAGATGTGCACTCCACTCTTGGCAAATTTAAAAAAATTTTGTAGAGATGGGGTCTTGCCATGTTGCCCAGGCTGGTCTTGAACTCCTGGGCTCAGACAGTACTCCTGCCTTGGTCTCCCAATGTGCTGGGATTACAGGCATAAGCCACTGCAGCCAGTTTGAGTTTTTGATATTGCATGAAATGTTTGAACATTTCGAATACCTCCATAATTCAGTAAACAGATATTTCCTAATGACCATATAATGTTACAGAATCTTACATGAGTAAAAATAATTTCAAAATGCGGATAGGCCAATAGATTTCAATGACTTCCTGTTGTTTATCCCCTGAACCAGAAGATTTACACTCACCCTAGATTCTTACCTTTCCCTCAACCCCTTCATTCTATTACTCAGTACTCAGTGTAAATTCCACCTCCCAGACAGCAGACAGCTCTTAAGTGTATGCTTTCCTGTTCATTACTATTTCTAATGCCCTCATTCAGAACTCTGGCAACTTACTTTATGATGTCAAATCTCTTACGTAGCATAAGAGGCCACTGCCCACCTCTCTTCTCTAGCTTCCCCCATTTCACTGTATTGTCTAGTAAGCTGATCTTATTATAGCTTTTTTTTTTTTTTTTTAGACAGAGTCTCTCTGTCGCTCAGGCTGGAGTGCAGTGGTGTGATCTCTGCTCACTGTAATCTCCACCTCCCACCTTGAGCACTCCTCTCGCCTCAGCCTCCCAGGTAGCCGGGACCACAGGCGCACACCACTGAACAGGGATAATTTTTTTTGTTTTTGTAGAGACAGTGTTTTGCCATGTTGCCCAGGCTGGTCTCGAACTCCTGGGCTCAAGTGATCCACCTGCTTCAGCCTCCCAAAGTGCTGGGATTACAGCCACTGTGCCCAGCCTATTATAGCTCTTTATAAAACAAAAACAACAAAAAAACCGAACATATTGATTCATGACTCCCTACCTTTGCATTCACATGATTCCTTTGCCTGGAATGTCCCCCTTCTTCTACCTGCTTGGGAATTCCTAGCTATATCTACTAAAATTCTATTCAGATGTCTTTTTCCAGGAAGCTTTTCTTAACCTAACTCACGCCATTAAGTTATTCGCTTTATTTTTCTAGGTTATCTTCTATTTGTTTCTACTGTTGTACTCATCATTCTGTAAGGTATTGGGGCTCTGTAGAATTTCTGTTACAAAATTACTTTTTGGTTTGATAATATTTACCTACATTGAGCAATCCCATAAGAAACAGGCCTGTGAAACTCTCTATTGGGTTTCCTAAAACAATATTGTTGAGAGATTATTTAATTACCTAGCTTTCTTTTTATAGGGACTTGCCAGAGAAATATATTTCTGGTCTTATCATATTAGTTACTCTTCAGATTTGTTTTAGAAAATAGTCACCATTAACACCTTTTAGAATTGGTTGGTGGAAAGTTTCCAATCAAAATTGTGGTCCACCTCTAGCAAGCTGTAAAATTTTATGATCTCCAATTAGCCTCAGTTTAAACTCTAGTCAGGCATTTAGCTTCACAAAAACTGAAGTCAGGGATAGTCAGTTTTCCCATATTAGTAGAGAGCTGGGAAGTGCTGATGTGCACAACCTGCAGCCTGAAATAGTTGCTTTTTCTAAATAACAGTAAAACTGTTGCTCTCTGAGGATGGATAGGTGGATGCTATTTGTTGTTTGCAAAGCTTAGGGAACCCTGTGGTTGAGATTTTTTCCAATACATGCATTTTTTTTCCCTTTGCAAAGGGACTTTGGATAATTGTTAATTTTCCCAAGAATATAATTATAATTCTTTTATTGTTTAAATAGAGTTAATAGTTTATCTACAGTTTCACTTTCTGCAGTTTCAGTTATCCATGGCTTGAAAATATTAAGATATTTTGAAAGAAAGAGGAAGAAAAAGAGGCGTCAGTCACATAACTTTTATTACAGCACATCGTTACGTTTCTATTTCATTATTAGTTATTGTTCATATCTTACTCTGCCTAACTTATAAACTTTAACATGCATATGTATGGGAAAAAAAACATAGTATATATAAGGTTTGGTACTATCTGCAGTTTCAGGCATCCACTAAGGATATCAGAACATATTCTCTGCATATTTAGGAGCAATTACCGTATGATATTTTTTTCTTTCTGTGTAAACACATGGTGTCATAGTCCATTTTGTGCTACTGTAACAGAATATCACAGACTAATAACAAATAACAGAAATTTATTGGCTTATAGTTCTGTAGGCTGAGAAGTCCAAAATCAAGATGCTGGCATCTGGGAAGGGCTTTTTTGTTGCATCATCACACAGAGGAAGGTGGAAGGGTGACAGAGAGAGCAAGAAGGGGCTGAACTTACCCTTTTATAACATCACCAATCCCACCCTAATCACCTCTTAAATATTCCACCTATTAATACTGTTATCATGGCAATTACATTTCAACATGAGTTTTGCAGGGGAGAAACATTCAAATCATAGCACATGGGTTAGGTGAGAAATGAAGAGTGAGGTATACAAGAGCATCCAGAACCATACTATATACATTCCAGCTGTTTTGGTGTAGAAGCAGCACAAATGTAGAAGCTGCATTGTTTCTTGATAAAAGGGTCCTGGAAAGATGACCAGCTATACAGTTTCCACTAGAGGAAATGCAGATTGGCTTGTACGACTTTAGAGTATGAAATATAAAGATCTGGAGTCTGTTCCATGTTTTTTCAGGACTGGTGTGACTATATTATGGATAACGAAGGAAAGGAGCCTCCTTTGAAAGAAGCATCTAAATTAGGGATGGGCTCCTCATTTGGAGGATGTTAGAAACTACGAATCAATGTCTCTCATGTTCAATGGAGCTCCCATTTTTATCGGTTTCATGAGACTATTATTAATTTATTTGAATCCAAGATGAGTCTCAAATATACCCAGAAGAAAAAAAATTAAGAAATGAAACCAAGACTCCTAATGCTTTGAATGTTCGTAACATTCGAGAAAAATTTGAGCCTGGGCTATATAATCAAAGTCTAGGATTTGTGAACCTAACAGGGTTCCACTGTCACCTGTTTTCAAGAGAGTGCTGAGAAAAATTCCAATCTATACCTTAAACAATTAGGTTAAATGATTTAAAGAAATTAGCCTTCAGAGGACTGAATTTTTAATGATTTTTCTACTTGGAAAATGTGACTTCTAAATAAAAAAAGTGCTTGCTTATTATAAAACCTTGGTTCAAAGGTAAATACTATGTTCTGACAAGTGTAAAATAAGTACAAGCACATGTGAAAATAACTGTTAACAGCAAATGCTTAAGAAGTGTTCTTGTTTTCTAAAATAAACATTTCCTGTTCCTAAAGTTTTTGGATCAGAAAATGGAAAAATATAACTCTAGTTAATGGGGATACGCAATTTGACTGTAGACCAATAATTAATTGTCATAAAGACTTTAAAAATCCTTCTAGATTAATAATGTGTAGAGGAGTCTTAGAGGATTACTCAGTAAAATAAATTCAAGGTAACAATATTAATCTAAGTTTCTTTAATATTCTTGATCTGGGTAAACATTTTCATAAATTAATTTTGTGAATTTTGAGTTTAAAATATGTCCTGCTCTAATTTCACCATGTGTAAAATAAAAAGGCAATCATAGTATTTTAGTCCATATAAAACCATGCCTCCATTTATAAAAACAGACTTTTTTTGGACAGTTTAACAGTTACAGAAAAACTGAACAGGAATTACAGAGAGTTCCCGTATGTCCCCTCAAGCCCTCTTCCCTCCAGTTTCCACTATTAGTAACATCTTGCATTAGTGTGGTACATTTGTTAAAATTGGTGCGCCAATATTGATACATTATTAAGTCCATAGTTTACATTAGGGTTCACTCTTTGTGCAGTTTTATTGGTTGTTATATTTTATTGGTTTTGACAAAGGTATGACATGTATCCACCATTACAGTATCATTCAGAATAGTTTCACTGCCTTAAAAATCCTCTGTGCTCCACCTATTCATCCAACCCTTCCCATGGACCACTGGTAACCACTACCTTTTCACTGTCTCCATGGTTTTGCCTTTTCCAGATTACCATATAGTTGGACTCATACAATATGTAATCCTTTCAGATTGGCTTTTCCTTAGCAATATGCATTTAAGGTTCCTCCATTATCCAGAGATGGTTTTAGTTGTCACAACTTGGGTAGAGAGATCAGGGGTCAATGCTACTGGCATCTAGTGGGTGGTAGAGACTGAGGTAGCTCATGAGCATCCTACAATGCCCAGGACAGCCCCCTACAAAAAAGAATTATTCAGCCCCAAATGCCAACCATGCTCGAGGTTGAGTAACCTTGTGTTAAGAGTGACATGTGGCATGAGAAATGGGGCGGTTTTGGCTCATGTTGTGATATTCTAGATTCAGATATTTCCCTGAGCAGAGAGGCTGAAATGCTGAAAATTTTTCATTTGATGACCTTGATGCTTCCTTTCCTGACCATCGTAAAGAACAAATGGCTCCTTTGCTTTGGCAAGAAATACTGAAGGTGGTGGCTTTTTTCTGTTTGTTTTGAAATGAAGTCTTGCTATGTTGCTCAAGCCAGTCTTGAATTCCTGAACTTCTGGTCTCAAGTGATCCTCCTGACTCAGCCTCCAGAGTAGCTGGGACTACAGGCACATGTTACTGCACCAGCCTTCAACGTGATTTTTTTTATTTCATTCAGGTGACAAACTCATGCTGAGGTTCCCAATTTTTGTCTCAGAGCTAGGATATTCTAAATTTGTAAAAAAAAAAAAAAAAAAAAAAAAAAAGTTAAGAAATATTAACTTTCTATGAAACACTCTAAATACTAACAAAGAGCTTGGTGAGTTCTCCCACTTACCTGTGTCCCATCTGTGCTTCAGTTGCAAATATATATATATATACACAGAGAGAGAGAGAGAGTCTTATTCTGTCACCCAGGCTCCAGCGATCCTCCCTCCTTGGCCTCCCAAAGCACTGGGATTATAGGGATGAGCCACTGCCCCCAGCTCAGTTGCTTATTTTGCATTATTTCAAGGCAGTGGAGGCAAAACGCTCAAAATTAATTTCTCACAGATCAACATCACATCTTGGAGTAAAACAAACACATATTGAAGGTATTTTAATGTATGTTTTCTTGAACTTCTTCTAACTAATAGGGGAAATATTTTCATTAACTTTTACCAAAGATTTCTGGATAGTGTAAATATATTTTTCTATTTGGGTAACAGTTTATAGTATGCTGTTATTTCTCTGTTCATTTATTTATTTTTATCATATACCTCCTAGAGTAAGATTTAATTTGATGGAAATGTTTTGTGGATTCTGCTGTAATTAATGCACATAATAGCAGTCAGTAATAGAATTTCTGTAAACCTATATTTATTAATTATCTAATACCTTCTCTTCATTTTGCTGTTGATTTCCACTAAGTAGATTAAATTGTGTTCTTAAAAACAGAAATTCATTTGTGTATGGATACAAAACAGAATGTTCCCAAATGCAATCTTGGATGTGATGCTCTAAACTTTAGAAATCCAGCTTCATTTATTTTGGATTAATTTCTCCCGCTTGGAGGCTGACACACTGTTTTACATCTATCAAATGCATGATTATAAAATTAACAATTTTGTACAATAATGAAATTAAACACACACACACATGAACTGTAAACTATACAGCACCATCTCTGTGTCATAGTTTTAAAAGGCACTTCCAGATGACATAAAAAATGAAGAGATATTTTTTAAGAACCTATTGATTTTTGATCTCCAATTTTGTGTGTGGGGGGTTGTTTTTCTTTAACCCTAGTTTTATCTAATTTGAGATTCATGAACAAGGTATCTCTAAGGGAAAGAGCAGCAGGTATAATTATTAGTTATTTTATAAGACTTTGTGAAGTCTTTGGTATAGTTCTAAAAACAAAGTGAAAGAACCTAATGTATGTATAAAAATAGTTTTGCAAGTCAATTGGTTTCTAATTCTTTGCTTTCAACAAAATTGAAGAAGAACCTTATACTTGAGTTGTCAGCTGACAGATTATTAAAAATATTATTTAATAATAGCCCATTATGTGAGTTTTGCATACGACTAAGAAGAAATTTTAAAAATTGGGTGAAGTTGCCTCAACAAGTCTTTATTTTCTCATTCATTTATATGATCAAGATTCCTTAGTTCTTTCATGTTAAAATTTTTTAATTGAAATAATATACAGCCCAGATTCATTAACAATAAGTAACATTTGTCAACATGAAATTGGGAAAATAAAGTCCCTATCCATCTCATTAAGAGATGCATTTCTAGTTAAATTTTACCATTACAAACTTACACTTTTATTTACCAAAATGTGTATTACAGATTGAGCATCCCTCATCAGAAAATCTGAAATGCTCCAAAATCTGAAACTTTTTGAGCACCAATATGATGCCACATGTAAGTACTGTACTTAACACAACTTCATTTCACATATAAAATTATTTTAAATATGGTATAAAATTACCTTCAGGCTATGTGCATAATGTATATAAGAAACATAAGTGAACTTCATGCTTAGACTTGGGTCCCGGCCTCAAGATATCTCATTATGTATATACAAATATTTTAAAATCCAAGATAATCTGAAATCCAACACACTTTTGGTCCCAAGCATTTCAAATAAGGCATATCCAATCTGTACTGACATTATTTTGATCTCTAACAGTTGGTAATCCTATCTTAATCCATATAACTTTTTTTTGAGACAGCATCTTACTCTGTCATCCAGGGTAGAGTGCATGCAGTGGCACGATCATGGCTCACTGCAGCCTCGACCTCCTGGGCTCAAGTGATCCTCCTACCTCAGCCTCCCAAGTAGCTGAGACTACAGGCAGGAGCCACCATGTCCAGTAATTTTTTTTTTTTTTGTAGAGATGAGGTTTCCCTATGTGCCTAGGCTGGTCTTGAACTCCTGGGCTCAAGTAATCCTCCTGCTTCAGCCTCACAAAGTGCTGGGAGTACAGGTGTGGGCCACTGCACCCAGCCCATATAACTTTTACACTTACAACAAGAAATTAAAAATTCAATGTAAGAACATATTTTGTTGCAAAGAAGCAGAATAGGTGGCTCAATAAAAGATTTCCAAGAACAAAGAAAAAAATTACATTAGGATGTAACCAGGGTTGAGAACTCAAAAAAAAAAAAAAAAAGAAAAAGAAAAATTCTACATGGGGGGTAGAATAAAAATATGAATTCAAAGTGGGAAAAAAGAGCAATGTAAAATTTCCAACCATTAAGAAAGAGGTTGTTTGTATATTTTTTAAATTAATGATAATGGGTGTCAAAACATTATGATATTTAGATTGAATTGAACATATGAGTGATTAACAGTTTTATTTTAAAGTGTTAATATGGAGAATATGTTGGAAATTATATATTTTTTGCAACTATCTGGACACATGTTGACAATTTTAGGTCTATCTAAGTCTATGGGAGGAGGCATATGACATTTCACAATCCTTGTAGGAGAGATGTGAAGGGAAGACCCCTGAGCTATTCTTCCTCCTTCTTGTGTTACCCCAGTAGGAAAATGGACTTATAACTGGAGAAGAGAAGCTAGGTGTCAGCAGAGACATGATGGAGTGGACATTTCTTTCAGTCCTTTACCAGGAAGTCCTTTCAAACTGAGGAGGAACATACTAAGGGAGAGACACACTAGTCTTGAAGCCCATGGCATTCCTGAAGATCCACCTCACACCCCAAATTACCAAACCCCAAAGCTCTCTTCAGCTCAGTAGGTTGTCCTTTAATTTTCAGTAACCCTTCCCTACAGCAGAAGAACCAATTTTTCTTTTCCCTCATAATTTGAATCCCTCCCACTAATTTATTTGAAGATGAAGATATTATCCTCTTTTACTACCAGTGAAAATACAATGACTTGAGAAGAGAAAATGATCTGTGTGACGCCAGGGTAGAAGTGGAAGTTGTGGGCCCTCGAATAAACCACTAGTCTTATACTTGAAGCAGGATAAACAATAAATGCCAAACCCAAGGCAGAAACTAGAAACATGGAGGAAAAGAGGCATAAATGCCTCATATTAGACAGTTACATTCTAAGAAATCTTTCTTGCAGCAGTTACTTTCCTACAATGACCAACTTCCTCTGACTCCAAATTTACTCCTTATGTACACTTGGGTTAGATATTCCTTTGACTATCCAATCATACCATTGTATAGTACCATTTACACATGCATACATGCTCACCTAAAGAACTTTTTGTGTGTGTGTGTGTGTGGTTTTTTTTTTTAAATCGAGTCTGGGACCTGGTTTCGCTCCATTGAGTCACTGGTGAAAAATTTAGTAAATCTACGAAGAGAGTTTAGTAAGTGTAAGAAGAGTCTGCTCACTGTGTGTGATATTCCAATAGATTCATGTGTTCTACACACAGGGATCTCTTGGATATAAGGGAGGCATTTCTCAGGTGTCTGGGTGACTTTCTGGTCATTATCCAGGTTCCTGGCTCAGCTTCCCAGGTCTCTTTGAATAAGCAGAGGGGATCCACATTCAGACAAGGCTCCTGGGGCTCTGACCAGAGGGGCTGGACATCCCTGGTAGACCTGACATTGGGCACTGAGACTCCTGGAAAACTTAAGCTGTTAATTTTGCAGTTCTCCATCTTGACTGCTTCTCGGACTGACCATCAGTTGGTGGGTTTTCATCAGCCTTCTGCCTCACCTCCTCTGATCCAAGCAGCAGCAGGGACTCACTTGCATGCACTGGTCTTGTAGGCAGTGACTTTTAAGCCACATCCTCTGTCTACCAGGCTAAACTTGCCTGCCTGAGAGGCATACTCCTTCCATCCTCTATCGTACATCTGTGAGCTACCAACTCTGGCCCTAGTGTGATACTGCCAGAATGTTGTGTACCTCATCTATTTAGAGTGGGAAGCCCATAAGGCAAACTGAAGAGGCCCCGTATCCTCACTCCCTTTCTGCTCAGTTTTTTCATTTATATTATCTCAACTTCACTCTACTAACCAGAGCACCAAGGAAGGGTAGGTTAGCAATTACGTCTATGATGACTATAGAGAAGTGGGGAGATGACTTATGATCCTCTTTGTGCTGGATTCCCTACTGAAGGCATCTGATGGCTTCTGATTTCCCTGGTCTGAGAAGAAAGTCCCTCTCCACCTCTCCCTCCTTACTCTACCTCAGGCTGAGGGGCTCAGGCAACCTTTTATGTTGCATATGGCATAGGTATCTCTGCCTCACTCCAGAAGGGACCAACCAATAGCCACCTACTCACCTACTTCTGAGGTCTAGTGCCTACAGACCTGGTGTTCATAAATTTAAGTTCTGGATTTAGGTCTCCTTTCCTGTAGCCAGGTGATCAGTGACCGGCAAAAATCAAGATCCCAGACTTCCTGAGTAACCTCATCAAGACTGAGGTAACAGCTCACATAGCTAGTGCATAGACAGATGCAGGTTACATGGAGTCTGAATCCCGTACACATTTGGAGGCTCCCTTTGGGACTGCTGGGATGCATGAAACATGGGATTTCACTCACAGTTGTGCTCACTATGTGTGATATTCCTATAGATTCATGTCTCTACACACAGGGATTTTTGATCATTCTGAATTGTTGATTCCCATAAAAAATGAATACATGGTGATCACTGTATATGCTGCATTACTGAATACATATTTACGAGAGTCTCCAACACATCTTTACACGTCTGAGGAGTAAAAGAATTTCCCACAGATTAGCTTCTGGTTCCCATTTCAAACCTCATTTCTGTTCCACCTCTGGCATTGGGTGTAGTATGGCTCCTTAGTGCTCCAGGCCAAAATAAGTGGCACAGGGGTAAAGTCATTTCTGGTGGGGGGTGGGGGATTTGGAGAAAAAAAGAAAGGATTGCAGGGGAGTACACTGGGAGGGTTAGGAGAAATTCTGGAGATACGGTCCACTCAATGGAGGCACATACAACCAAGCTGAGAAACGACATAGTACCCAACAGAGTTGGGAGATGTGAAACCCAAACATCAATCTCCACCTGGGCATAGAGGAAATACTCGATTTCCAAGCAGGTTCTAGGTTCAGAGGAGAGAGCCCTTGGTTGGAAGCGCCGGTCTTGCAGGATGGGGTGGGGGCGTTAATGCAAACTTCTGGTCCAGCAGAGGTAGAAACAGACCAGATCTAAGTAGCAGCTCAGAGGCAGCGGACTTGAGGGATGAAGACGTGAGGCCCAGAGGGTGGTGCCTGGCAGAGAAAACAGCTGCCAGACACCAAGGCCACCTCGGGTTAAAGGGAACAAGTTATATCCAAAAAAAAACCAACACGGTGAAAATAGGAAGAATAAGGATATCACCTGGAGTGTTCTCCTGAGACACTCCCCAAGAACCTGGATTCTTTAACAATCCCTCCAGAGCAGGGACACTCAGCACATACATCTCCCACAAAGTAAAGTGTCTGAAGGCCTGGGCAAACCCTTCTCCCTCCCCTTCTCTCTCCTCCACGGGCCGGCCCGGAGGAGGCTCAGGGATGAGAACTACTGTCACTGCTGTTCCCCACCTCACCCCAACGAGAGAGGAATCTTTAGAGGTCTGTATCCCTCCTTCACCACCCCGCCTGAGCGCCTGCTGGAAAACACAATCACCGTCTCAAATCTCACCCTGCAACTGCATCCAAGCGCTTTCTCCAAGCGTTCGGGGAGCCGCCGGAACTCTTCTTCCAGGCAGGCGTTCCGAGACTCCGCACAATAGGTACCTACCCTTGGGGTTTTGAGCCGCAGTGTCTGCCTCTGTTCAAGTATCCAGGCTCAGGTACAGACCTTTCAGTGCAGGCGGCGGGAGGCGCGAACACGGAGGACCCCCTCAGGCATACTGCCGCCCGGGCGGCGCCTGACAGATTGCCTCCTTGGGATCGGCGGACATGCCCTGGGCGCTCCAGCTCCGCGCGCCTCAGACACAGGCTATGATTGGCCTGGCTGAACGTCAATCAGGGCTCGGCGCCGTGGAGGCGGGAGGAACGCTGTAGGCAGAGGCCGCTTAACTCCCTACGGGGTTATTCTCCGCCTCTTCTAGGGTAGGCAGGTGTTCCCGAGTCCCTTAGGGGGGGTCCCCGCGGCGGCCTGAGATGCTCGGCGCCAGGTTGTCGCGCCCTTGAGCTGGCTGAAGTAGACATTGACTCTGGAGAGTCTGCGTTTTTCCTGGTCCCAGAGCCGTGGTCCCGATACTGCGCTTCCCGCTCCTCCAGTCCCAGCTCCCAGGCTCCGTCTTCTCCCGCTTGGCGCTGGAGAAACACCGGAAGAGAGAGTCGCAGAGTGACTGCTGTGGCCCTGCGACCTGACTGCCACCTTCCAGGACTCTAGCCCTGGCTCCTTCTAACCTTCCCGCCCCTCAGTGCCCCAGAGAGGCTGGTTTGCGGACAATTATTCATCAGCCGGAAGAAAAGGAGGTGCCAGTGTTAGGCGCAGAAGAGGGTTGGACCAGAAAAGCTGGAGAGGGGCAAGAGGGGAAAGAGGGGGAAGGGGGAAGGCGGAAGGCGGAAGAAGTTGGGAGGGGTAACAGCTCGAGCTTTTCCTCTAGCGTAGTTTCTCTTCTCTCGGTGCCGCCCCATCTGCTTCTTGCCTCAGTTCCCCACTCGCACCCGTGCACCTCTGCGGCAGGCGTGTGAAAGGAATGGGAGGGGGGGCTTTTGGTCGGGATATCTGGTCCTCCAGACCCCACAGCCTTGGCTGAGAACTTACTTAAGCCCACTCCAACTGACTTGATAAATGAGAATCTTGACCAGCCCACTGGTAGGTAGAAATGAGGGACGTCATGTATCCCTGAATGGAATAACCCGAAACCGCAGGTCCCGTGGATGTGGGAATCCACAGCACTGGCTGCGCTCCTAAGGCTCCTAAGTCCACTTCCGAACCTCATCTAAGACCCTGAAAGCCAGACTAGGGACACATTGGATTATTATTATTATTTTTTTTATTTGAGACAGGGTCTCGCTCTGTCGCCCAGGCTGGAGTGCAGTGGTGTGATCTTGTCTCACTGCAACCTCCGCCTCCCGCGTTCAAGCGATTTTCGTGCCTCAGCCTCCCGAGGAGCTGGATCTACAGGTGCGCACCACCACGCCTGGATAATTTCTGTATTTTTAGTAGAGACGGGGTTTCACCATGTTTGCCAGGCTTGTCTCGAACTGTTGACCTCAAGTTATCCTCCCGCCTCCACCTCTTAAAGTGCTGGGATTACAGGCCTGAGCCTCTGCGCCAGTCCTACACGTTGGATCTTTTCCCAGACCTCCTCCTCAGACGTGGAGCGTACAAATGATGCTCCATCGGTTACTCTGATCCTGACTTTGGGACTGCCAGATAAAACTGGGAGAAACCCTACATTTACTCTTACTGTAACGTATTGGCTTGAAACTGCAGGTCAGAACCCATTTATGTTGAGACCAAAAGACTTTTTTTCCAAGTAGAATGAAATAGAATAAAATACAATTGAAAATACTTGCCTGCATCACAGGTAATGAGAGTAACTATAGTTTCATGAAACCGTTGTTTCAGTTAAATATGTTTTTGCGTGTGTGCATGTGTATCGGGAGGAGATATGTATTTCATATATATATGTAGAGAGGTGGAAATCAACAACAAAACTCCATAATTTTTCTTGTTTTCTAACAGTTCTTGATTTTGAGTAAAAATAATTCTTTAAGAACAAAATTTTGAGCCAGCTAACGAAAGATCAGAGTCAAGCAGCCTCTCATTGGGGCCTGAATAGAGGTTCATCTTATTTGGCTTTTTCGTTTTTTTCCTATCTTGTGGACTCCTTTTAAGGCCCAGCAAGGAATTACCCTCCCCAAGTTTCCACTCTCTGCTTGGTTCAGCCATTCAGCTGTCTCTCGGGCTCTTTGATTAATAAAAAGTCCAGTAGAGCTATTTTATCCTATGCATGTGTGGGAAGAGGGCAATGCCAGTGATTCTTTCCTGATTTGACAGAAAATTCACAAATCACGTTACCTTCTGAAGATAGAGATTTTAAGCTCAAACATTATCACCAGAGAACTGAATTATTAAGAAAGATGAGTGGTCAAAAGTACAGATGTTTTACAGATTAAGGGTCATTTTGTCAGGTCCTGTCCAAAATATTTGAAGTCTAGGGGTTTGAAAAATTGTTAGAAATAACCATTTATGACAACAGTTTTCATTTATTGTTCTCTCCAGCTTCAGGAGCAGGGGAGAACATTTTTTTCCTTCTTACCTTGCTGAGAATTTTTTCACCAGGGTTTCAAGGCTAAGAACTGAAATTCCAGCATTGACATTGAATTAAAAAGAAGCAAGCCCTTTTAGGAAGTCAAATTTTATTATATGAGATGGAATGTAATATTGAGATTACTTATTACTTAGGCATGGGATAGGGGGGCTTTTAACAACAGACCAAAAAAAAAGTTGGAAGGATAGGAATGAAATAAAGCAAACTTTCATTATTCATAGATGATACAATTGTCTACAGAGAAAAATAATCTAAAACATAAGAATTAAGAGTTTGGCACAGTGGTTGGCTAAATATATAAACAAATCTATTGCATTTTCTATAAAAACAAAAAAGTAGAAATGTGATTAACTGGTTTATATAACAAACTTACAGTACAGTTGACCTTTGAACAACATGGGCTTGAACTGTGCAGGTCTACTTATATATGATTTTCTTCTGCCTTTGCCACCCTTGAGACAGCGAGACCAACCTCTCCTCCCCTTCCTCCTTCTTAGCATATTCACCATGAAGACATGAGGATGAAGACCTTTATGATGCTCCACTTCCACTTAATGAATAGTAAATATATTTTCTCTTCTTTATGATTTTTTAAATAACATTTTCTTTGCTTTTCTGAGACAAGGTCTTGCTCTGTTGCCCAGGCTAGAGTGCAGTGTTATCATGGCTCACTGTAGCTTCAACCTCCTGGGCTCAAGCGATTCTCCACCTCAGCCTCCCAAGTAGCTGGGACTACAGGTGCACGCCACCCTACCTGGCTAAATTTTTAATTTTTTGTAGAGATGGGGTCTCGCTATGTTGCTGAGGCTGGTCTCCAACTCCTTGTCTCAAGCACTTCTGCCTCAGCCTCCCAAACTGCTGGAATTACAGCCATGGGCCACCGCACCTGGCCAACATTTTCTTTTCTCTAGCTTACTTTACTGTAAGAGTACAGTATATAACACATAAAAATATAAAATATATGTTAAATAACTTTATGTTATTGGTAAGACTTCTGATCAACAGTAGGCTATTAGTAAAGTTTTGGAGGAGTCAAAAATTATGTGCAGATTTTTGACTGCACAGGTGGTCAGCGCTACTAACCCTCACATTGTTGAAGGGTCCACTGTAATCAGGAATAAATTCTCAAAAAGGAAAGGCATGCAAGATCTTAGTGGGGAAAATTAAAATCATTAAAAGAAGTTGAAGAAGTACTGCACAGATGGAGAGATACATTCATGGTTAGGAAGCATCAATATCATTAAAATGCCAGTTTTCCCCAATGTGATCTATAGTTTCATGCTATTTCTAGAAAAATTTCAACAAAATGTTTTATAGAATTGGACACAATGATATTAAAATGAAACGAAGGAACACAAGTTCAAGAAGAGCCAAAATACCATTGAAAATAAAGAGGAAGTTGGGGAATTTCCTGACTACATGAGAAGATATTATATACACCACTGGATTTAAGACCATGTGCTATTATTGGTGAGAGAGGGAGTAGACAACTGGGCCAATAGAATAGAATGGAAAGAGTGTCAGGACCCCTTGTATGTGAAGAATGGTCATTAAAGACCAGTGGGTAAAGGATGTATAATTCAATAAGTTTGAATTTATGACACTGGATTAGTGGATATATATACATCATAATAAATTCCAGATGAACTAAGTACCGACGTATTGAAGGCAAAACTGTAAAACTTTTAAATGAAAATGTGAAAGAAATATTTGTATGACTTCAAGGTAGAAAAATATTTATTAAAAAGACACACATACACATTTTAAAAACAAAAATGTTAAGAGAAGATGAATAAATTTGACCACATTAAAATTAGAAACTTTAATCAAAACACACTCTAAAGGAAAAAAAGCCACAATCTAAACTTATTTATATCACACATAATTTACATAGGATCAATATCCAGAACATCTAAGAATAGCCCCATAGGAAAATGATCAAAAGATGTGAAAGGGCAGTTCACAAAAAGGGATATATAAAAGACCAATAAACGTACAAAAGTTAAGCTCACAATAGTTATCAGAGAATTGTGAATTAGAACAGTCCTTGAAATAACATTTTAAAATCACTAAATAGACAAACATTGAAAAGTCTAACATTATCAAAAATCAATGAGGATGTAGGGTGAGGGGAACTCATACTCTGATGGTGGACTTCAAACTGAAATAATCTACTTGGAAAAAAATTGGCATTTTGTAGAGTTGAAGCTGAGAATATCCTAAAGCATAGCAGCTCTACCCTTAAATATATATGCACCTTAGGGAAATTATTGAATAAGGCACCAAGAGCAATGTGCAGGAAAAGTCATGAGAGCATTCTTTGTAATTGCAAAAAGCTGGAAACAACCCAGTGTCCATTTGCAGGTAAACTGATACACAAATTTTGGCATAATCATAATGTGGAATTCTATGCAACATCAAGATCAGTGGAATACAGATAAAATAATAAACTTGCATAATTCTTAAAATCATATTGTTGAATGAAGAAAACAACAGAAAACTACATTTTGATATTAATTATGATGTTAATTTGTTGTCAGACAAAGACAATATTTACTATGATGAAAAGCAAGATAATGATCAACTCCAAATTTGGAATAATAGTTGCATTTTGCAGAGAGGAAGGGAGATTCTAAGGGAAGACAAATACAGGAAACTTTAATGTTAAGGGTAACGTTCCATTCCTTCATGTGACTGGTGGGAAAAAATGGATGCTTAAAATTCTTGTAGATATGCATCACATGCATTACTTATTTGTAGAAAAATATTTCAAAAACTGGATCATAAGAAAAAAGGAAAAAGATGTATAAGAAATCATTTGCATAGAGACAGAAGTAACAAAGGCAATTTGATGAAATTTATTGAGACAGAAGACTAAAAAATGAAAAAACATGGTAAATATAAAAATATGATGGCAGAAGTAATCCAGATATATATGCATTTGTAATGTCCATTTATATCATTGCATTAAATCTAAATTTTTCTGCTCAGTAAAGATGGTCTGTGTGTGTGTGTGTGTGTATTTGCTATTCAAAAAGTGCTGGTGGCAATGGCTTATACCTGTAATCCCAGCACTTTGGGAGGCCAAGGAGGGAGGATCACTTGAGCCCAGGAGTTTGAGATCAGCCTGGGTAACATAGCGAGACCCTATCTCTACAAAAATAAAAAAATTAGCCAGGCGTGGTTGTGCATGCCTGTAGTCCCAGCTACTGAGGAAACTGAGGTGCAAGGATCGCTTGAGCCTGGAAGGTTGAGGTTGCAGTGAGCCGTAGTCGCACCCCTGCACTCCAGCCTGAGCGGCAGACTGAGACCCTGTCTCAAAATAAAAACAAAAACAAACAAAAAGCACCTAAAACAAAATGACACCGAGTGATTAAACCAATGGACAATGATAAACTCAGGCAAATGCTAACAAAAATTAATTATGGATAGAAATACTGTCTTACTCCATTTTGTGCTGCTATAATAGAATATCCAAGACTGGATAATTTTTAAAGAACAGAGATTGACTTATTACAGTCCTAGAGGCTAGGAAATCCAAGGTTGAGAGGCCTGCATCTTGCAAAAATCTTCTGGCTGCCTCATACTGTGGTGGAAGGCAAAAGGGATAAAAAGAGAGCTGAGAGAGAGAAAGAGAAAGAGAGAGCGCCCAAGTGCAACAGGTTGAATTCACAGGCTTTTAGCCTTTTTGTAATTGGCATTAATTCATTTATGAGGATGGAGTCGTCATGACCTAAACACCTCTCATCATTAAGCCTCACCTACTAACACTGTTGCATTGAATATTACATTTCCAACATATGCTTTTTGGGGACACATTCAAACCATTACAAATACTAATATTGAACAAAGTAGAATAAATGATGAAGAAATTTTTCAGTGTCAAAGAAGGATACTTTATTATGCTAAAATGTACAATTCACCAACTACCCATAAGTTATAAGCCTTCATATCCTAAACAAGTCTTTGAAAGTTAGGGAAAAAAATGTGCTTTGTTAGGAAAGATAAATTGACACATTTAAGAGCTTTTAGCATACTTTTAAACTAAACTGTCATATCCAATTGTAAAATAATGTGAATGTAAGATATTTTGCTAAAGCAAATAATGATCTTATCAAATATTTATAAAATTGTGTACTCAACAAATAGTGAATGCATATTTTCCCAAACATAATGCATTAAACCACAAAGTAAAATTAAATAGAAATTAGAAACTACACGGGCTATATTCTCTCACCGGTATAAAACACATACATAGAAAAACAAAACAAAACTAAAATAAAACAAAACAAAACCTCACCAAAACAGTACTAACAAGAAAGCCTCCACTTGGAAACTTAAAAACATCTCACTAATTTTTGGGTTGAAAAGGAAATCAAAATTGCAATTCAAAGGAGTTATGTTTTTGCTAGGAATATGGAGGGAATTCAGTTCAGAATTCATTTCTCTATATAGTACAGCAAAGAGAATGAAAAAGAAAACCACACAAGAACCTCATTTTTAGTGAAACTAGGAAACAAAAAGTATGGTTACATCCCAAATTGCATGTCATTTGTGCTTAAAGCAACGGAGAGCAGAACTGGGCATAAGAAGCCAAAATGTTGCTGTGGCAACAGATGAAAGCGTGGAGGGAACTAGTGGTGCGGGATCTCGGAAAGGGCCCGAAAATATTCTCTCTCTAAGAGTAGAAGCCAGCCTAGGTTGGAGCTGTTGGCAGTTGGCCTGAGCTACAGTGAGGCCCAGATGCTGGGGAAGGCAGAAGAAGGCCCACATATTGGGGGAGCAGACTTTGTTTTGGAGGTTCCAAGGTGGCAGATAACAAAGGTTCCCTCTGGAATGCAGGGGGTCCTAACACCGTGGTAGAATCCTTGCTGAAATAGATTAAATTCCCCAAGTTGGAAAAAACATGGATGCAGCGTATTTTAAGATAAAGTTTACGTGTTAGTAATAAAGGATTGGTCCTTCGGTTGTAAAACCTGGGAGGTTACTATTGCCCATGTCTTCTCTCACCAACCCATCATCCCACCCCCATCCAATAGGAGTCTTCCACTAATATCTGGTCCAGGAATGCTCAATTTATTCAGAATAAGTAGGAAAAGAAATGGCACAGTTCCACATAAATATGCCATGAGAAAAAAATGTTTACAGAAAGCAGCAAGATTTCCCTCCAGAAGTAATGAAGCAACCTCAGCCATGAAGATCATGGAGCCAAAAGGATGACCTTCAGCAGAAGCAGTTACGAGCCAAAGAGGTCCAAGGGCACTGAGGGAGGAGCCAAGTGGTAAGGGCCACCTCTGGCTGGGATCCAGGGTGCCCAAGTGGGAAAATGAGCAAGCCAGAGAGTGCTTGGTCTAGGGATTAAGAAAAGCACACAGTAATAGGTTGGACACTAAATTTGAAAATGAACAGTGAGAAAAATGCTGTGGGGACCAGGATTGAAATGAAGTAACAGAACAATTAAAATTACATGATCCAGGGACAGAGACTTGAACTCATAAACAGGCCTGTGTTGCCCATTAGTCACAAGGGGAGCAGTGAGCCATTGTTAAAATGCCAAGGATTCCCAATGCAGTTTACTTGGAACTTTGCCCAGCGATGAAGGAGTCTGACTTGTCTTTTCTGTAATAGTTAGAATCAAAGAAAAATAAAGCACAGCTGGTGGGAGGGTGAGAAGCAAGCATCATGAACCACGGTCTAATTCAAGGATCAAACTGCTGTCCAGTTCTGGCAGATTTTGGATTGCAAGGGGAATAAAGCTGAGAGGCCATATTGGCACCTAGGCACAGTGAGGTGAGTCTGGCCACGCATTTAAGAAGCCCCTGCAAAATGATACAGGTGGTTACTAAAAACCACCTCTGGCCTCTGGAAAAAAAGAAATAGCATCTCCCGGATAAGAATATCTGGGTCTCACACCTATTGACCAGGTCGAGATAGGGTTCAGTTGGGGATGGGATATAATAAAAGGCATGGGTAAAGAAACTGGGCAGAGGCATAGTGCCTGCATGTTGGAGATTAAGGAGGGAATTCGGAACTCATTTTTCTATATATATTACAACAAAGGTTAAGTTTGGAGGTTAAGTAAGGATGCTGCAGCTCACTCATGGTTGCTTTTCCTTCAGAGTACTCATGCCTCGGCTTACCCAGGGGGACTCAAGGAGAGGAATGTGTGTGCGCATATCTATCTATCTATCTATCTATCTATCTATCTATCTATCTATCCATCCACCTTCTAATCTACCTAAATCAATCACTGTGTGTATCTATTCCAACCACAATGGACTCCTATCATTCAATTTCATTTAGTGGTACATCTCAGCCCAGTTTACAGAAAAGCTGTAAAGGGCTGTAAAAGGCTGTATGAGAACATAATCTGAAAAGCGTTGCTCAAAAGAGCATATTATATATTATTGGGCATTTATGAAGAAATTAGATCTCACACTGAGCTAGTTAATAAAGATTTATAATTACAAATGGGCTGCAGCATGTGATTCTGAACTTGACTATTTCCTTTTGCCCTTCAGTTTCAGACTATGATATGGATTATGATTCTCTACCACCCCCTAGTGGAAATTCATTCATTTCTTTTTAAGTCCTGTTTCTTCTAATCATTTAGTCTAAATGATTAGACTAAATGAGAAAATTACATAGTAAATATCTGGATTCACTCTTGTTATAAAAGGTTCAAACCGGCCGGGTGCGGTGGCTCACACCTGTAATCCCAGCACTTTGGGAGGCCAAGGCGGGCGGATCACAAGGTCAGGAGATTGAGACCATCCTGGTTAACACAGTGAAACCCCCGTCTCTACTAAAAACACAAAAAATTAGCCTTGCGTGGTGGCGGGCGCCTGTAGTCCCAGCTACTCGGGAGGCTGAGGCAGGAGAATGGCGTGAACCCAGGAGGCGGAGCTTGCAGTCAGCCAAGATTGTGCCACTGCACTCCAGCCTGGGCTACAGAGCAAGACTCCGTCTATAAAAAAAAAAACAACAAGTTCAAACCATACAGAAGGGTACGGAGTAAAAGGTCTCCTTTGTTTCTCCCTCCTCCCCATTCCATTCTAGGTCCCAAAGGTAACTGTGTGTAGTTTGTGTTATACTAGGATATTTCCTGTGCTTTTACACATTCCAGGTATATGGCAGGAAAAATCCTGAGACATCAACTGAGGATTATTTTCCTCAGGCATCTTTCTACAACAGAGGCAGATAACGCATTTCCCCTCATGCCATGGGAGACAGACCACAGCAAAACAGCAATGACCAAAAGATTAAGATTTTTCATTTAAAATTTTACATTTGAAAACCATGGTAGGCCAGGTGTGATGGTCACATGCCTTTAACCATTTAGGAGGCTAAGGCAGGAAGATTGCTTGAGCCCAGGAGTTCAAGACCAGCCCGGACAACATGACGAGACTCAGTTTCTACAAAAAAAAAAAAAAAAAAAAAAAAAGAAAAGTAAAGAAAAAAAAATTAGCTGGGCATGGTGGCGCTCACTTGTGGTTTCAGCTACTCAGGAGGCTGAAGCAGGAGGATTGCTTGGGCACAGGAGGTTAGGGATACAGCAAGCCATGTTCAGGTCACTGTACTCCAGCCTGGGTGACAGAGTGAGACCTTGTCTCAATAAATAAATAAATAAATAAAAAAAATAGAAAACCCAGTAGAGGCCAAATGAAAGAAAGGTCTTTGGAGATAAAAAACCTTAGATTACTAGATATCTGAAGTCAGCACTTGTTCCATAAATAATAGATTTGGGAAGTACTCCGGATAATCTTAGAGCCAATTTTCTTCTGTGGAAGTGATAAGAATCCACAGGCTGAAGACAGAAAGAGTGTCAGGAACTGGTTTTGGGGTCTTGCACTCTGTAATCCAGTTAAACTGTGTGACAGAGGGTCAGTGCCTCCTCCAACTCAGATATTTTGGGCATACAAGGATGGGATCAAAGAGTGTGCTGTTTCTGGTCTACGGAATATTACAAATTTGAATGAAATAAAAATATTTCTGACAGTTTCTAAACTCTCTTTTCTTAGTACTCAATAGAATGGACTGTCATCCATGCTGGGTAAGGAAAGATCTTGACAAGGAAAGGAAGGAATCAGGGTTTCATGAGAGACAGGGTTCTAGGGATCCAAGCACCATGATGAGGTAATGGCTAAGTTTTCTCTTGGGTAATGCAAAGAAAAGTTGACCTTTACTGCTGTGAAGCAAATTAGAAGCTAACCCGGGGTGCATTCGTTTGGTTTCTTCCAGAAGCAGTCCCTGACACAGGGACATGAATGAAAGTAATTTATTTTGGAGGTGCATGAAACTTCAGTAGCAGCTGAGTAAAAGATTGGGAAGGGAAAACAGCCAACGAAGGGTGAATGACTGGAACTTAATCCCCTGGGGAAATTCTGGGAAAGCACTTGCCTCAGAGTTAACCCAGCCACGGAAGGAGGGAGTTGGGCAATTGTACATCAATTCCCATTGGTTGAAGGCTGCTGCCTGACACGTGAACTCTTCGGCCCTTCTAGTCTGCTGTGAGTCGGGCAGAGTGGCCCTTCTTGGCTTTGAGGAAGCCTTCAGGAATGATGCAAATGTCCAGCCAGTGTGCACTACAGTGGTAAGGCCCAAGGAACATGGCAGGTATTAGTAGCATCAGCCATACCAGGTCTATTTCTAGTTGGAGAACCCTTAGATGACTGGAGCCTGTGATCTCTTACATCTGTAATATCTGTGATCAGAATGGAAGAATTTTCTATTGTCTTTTCCTTTTCAATTTTGCCCAAGCCTTCATAAAGTTTTGTTAAAACTTTGACAACAGTCTTATTTTTACATTCCTTTAATCAAGAAGGACAGGCCTATGTCCAAATATAGGAGGATGTATTAGTTTGCTAGGGCTACCATAAGAAATACCACAGACTGAATGGCTTAAACAACATAAACTTATTGCCGCCTGGCTCTGGAGTCTAGAAATGTGAGATCAAGGTGTCAGCAGGGTTGGTTTCTTCCGAGGTCTCTGTCCTTGGCTGGCAGATGGTTGTCTTTTCCCTGCATCTTCCTATGGACTGCCCCCTGTGTATGTATGTCCTAATCTCTTTTTATATGGATACTAGCTATATTAGGACCTACTTTCATAACCTCATTTTCACTTAATTATCTTTTTAAAGACTCTAACTCCAAAAAAAATTCACGTTCTGAGGTACTGGGTTTATTCAACATTATGAACTTATAGGGGGACACAGTTCAGCCCAAAAAGAGGAAAATGGGGCAAAGGGAAAATCCTTCTTCTCCATCTTCTTTCCTGTTCTCTCTCAAAGGCCAAGGTGAGTGAGAGCAACATTGGATCATGGGATCTTGGTTGCCCTGCAACTCAAGAGATATTTGGCTTCAACGTTAGCAGTGAGCAACAGCAGAGCTGAGAACAGTGGTATAGAACTGAGTCACACTGAGTCAGGCTACATTTCCCAGGCTAATTTGCAAACCAGAATTCCAGATATAATTTTTATTCACTCAAACTTTCCACTCATGAACTTCTTAAATGTATTTTGAAAAACTATGCACATCCTCATACATGTTTTTTAAATTTAACTTTTTATTTTGAGGTAATTAGAGAGTGACATGCAGTTGTAAGAAATAATACAGACAGAACCTTTTACCCTTTAATCCAGTTTCCCTGATGGTAACATCTTATAACACTTCAGTACAGTATTGCAATCAGGATATTGACATTTGTGTCAATGTCAATATTACAGTCAAGACAGTATTTTTGTCACTCCAAGTATCCCTTATCTTGCCCTTTTATGGTCGGTTCACCTCCTTCCCACCCCCATCACTTCCTTAACCACTGGCAACTATGAATTTTTTCTCTATTTCTGTACTTTTGTCATTTCAAGCTTCTTAATACAAAATGTTATACAAATGGATTGTGCTTTTTTTTTCTTTTCAATAAAGTTTATTTTATTTATTTATTTATTTTTTTTGAGATAGAGTCTCACTCTGTCACCCAGGCTGGAGTGCAGTGGCACCATCTCAGCTCACTGCAACCTCCACCTCCAAGGTTCGAGTGATGTTCATGAGTCAGCCTCCCGAGTAGCTGGGATTACAAGCATGTGCCGTCTTGCTTAGCTAATTTTTGTATTTTTAGTAGAGACGGGTTTCACCATGTTGGCCAGCTGGTCTCGAACTCCTGACCTCAATGATCTGCCTGCCTCGGCCTCCCAAAGTGCTGGGATTACAGGCGTGAGCCACCACGCCCAGCCTGGATTATGCTTTTGATGTCAAGCCTACGAATTCTTTGCCTGGCCCTACATCTCAAAGATTTTCTCCTATTTTTCTAAAATTTTAATAGTTTTACACTTCACATTTACTCTGTAATCCATCTTTTTTGTTTCTTTATCTATTTTTAGAGATGGGGTCTTGCTCTGTTGCTCAGGCTGGAGTGAAGTGACGTGATCACAGCTCACTGCAGTATGTAACCTTTTGGGACTGGCATTTTTCACTCAGTATAACTCTCTGGAGATTCATCCAGGTTGTTGTGTGTATCAGTCATTCTTTTTTATTGCTGAGTATTATTTCATGGTATAAGTGTACAATAGTTGGTTTAACCATTTACCTGTTAAAGGATATCTGGGTTATCTTTGGCTACAATGAGTAGGCAGTTAGACAAACATTTGCATACAAGGTTTTGTGTGAAGGCATTGTCTGTGCTTGTGTATTTGTGTATGCAAGTTTTCATTTCTTGGGGCTAAATACCCAGGAGTACAGTTGCTGGGCAGGATGGTAGTAGTATGCTTAGTTGTTGGATTTTTGTTGTTGTTGTTGGTTTTGTTTTGTTTTTAAGAAACTGCCAAATCATCTTCCAGAGTGGCTGTACCATTTTATATTCCCATCAGAAATTATGAGAGATCCAGTATCTCTTCTTCCTTGCCAGCATTTAGCATTGTCGCCTTTTTTTTTTTTTTTTGAGAAAGAGTTTCACTCTTGTTGCCCAGGCTAGGTACAATGGTGCGATCTCTGCTCACCGCAACCTCTGTCTCCCGGGTTCAAGTGATTCTCCTGCCTCAGTCTCCCGAGTAGCTGGGACTACAAGCATGTGCCACCACACCTGGCTACTTTTGTATTTTCAGTAGAGACAGGGTTTCTTCATGTTGGCCAGGCTGGTCTCAAACTCCCGACCTCAGGTCATCTGCCCACCTTGGCCTCACAAAGTGCTGGGATTACAGGTGTGAGCCACCGCACCCAGCCCATTGTCACTATTTTTATTTTAGCCATCCTGATAGGTGTGGAGCGATTATCTCATTGTGGTTTTAATTTGCATTTCCCTAATGGCTAATGATGTTGAACAACTTTTCATGTGCTAATTTGCCATTTTTATATCCTCCTTAGTGAAATATTACCTTAAGTCTTTTGCCTATTTTCTAATTGGATTTTTAATGTGTTTTCTTTGTTGAGTTTTGAGAGTTCTTTATATACTCTAGATACTAGTCCTTTGTTCAATGCATAGTTTGCAAATATTTTCTCCTACTGTGTAGCTCATTTTTTCATCCACTTACCAGATCTTCACAAAGCAACAGTTTTACATTTTGATGAAATCCAATTTATCAGTTTTTCCTTTCATAGATCATGCTCTCAATGTCAAGCCTAAGAATTCTTCGCCTAGACCTATATCTCAAATATTTTCTATTTTTCTAAAATTTAAGAGTTTTATGCTTTACATTTACTCCATAATCCATTTTGTTTATTTATTTTAATTAATTGTATCTGGTAAAGGTTAAGGTATTGCATTTCTCTGACATTTTTTTTTTTTTTTGAAACAGAGTCTTGCTCAGTCACCCAGGCTAGAGTACAGTGGTGTGTCACAGCTTATGACAGCCTCGAACTCCTGGGCTCAAGCAATCCTTCTGCCTCAGCATCCCAAGTAGCTGGGACTACAGGCAGGAGCCACCACACCAACATTATTTTTCATTTTTGTGTATAGACAGGGTCTTGCTATCTTACCCAGGCTGGTCTTGAACTCCTGGACTCAAGCAATCCAATCCAGTTGGAATTAAATTTTGCATAAGGCGTGAGACTTAGGTCAAGTTTCATTTTTATTTTATTATCTTGCCTATGGATGCCCAATTGTTCCATTTCACCATTGTTCAATTCACTATTTGTGAAAAAGGCTATTTTTCTTCCACTGACTTCCTTTTGCACCTCTTTCAAAAATCATTTGGGCAGATTGTGTGGGTCTTTTTCTACGTTCTCTATTTTGTTCCACTGATTTGTGTGTCCATTCCTCTGCTAGTAACACACAGTCTTGATTACTGTAGCTATAAAACAATACTTGAAATAGGGCAGACTGATTTTCAACTCACTTTATTCTTCTTTTTCAAGAATGTTTTAGGCGTCGGCGTCGCTCCCGCCCTGGAGCTCTAGGCCCGCTTTTCCCCGCTTGAGTCTGGCGTCGGGGTCATTGTGTCTTGACAACCGCTCCGGTACCCCTTTCCGAGGCAGCAGGTGCGGCCGCTTTAGCCTTGAGCGGGCTCCGCGTCTGCCTGCTGGTCTCTGCTAGTGCCGACCCTTCTGTTCGCGGACCCCACGCCAAGCAGCGACCCTGAGCCGACAGGCGGAGCACCCGGCAATGGCGGCCTCCACGGCCTCGCAACGGCCCCTCAAGGGGATCCTGAAGGACAACACCTCTACGACTTCCTCTATGGTGGCGTCGGCCGAACATCCCCGTGGGAGTGTCCACGAGCAGCTGAGCAAAAAATCCCAGAAGTGGGATGAAATGAACATCCTGGCGACATATCGTCCAGCAGACAAAGACTATGGTTTAATGAAAATAGATGAACCAAGCACTCCTTACCATAGTACGATGGGTGATGATGAAGATGCATGTAGTGATACAGAAACCACTGAAGCTATGGCAACAGATAGCTTGGCTAAGAACTTAGCTGCTGCTGAAGGCTTGGAGCCAAAGTATCAGGTTCAGGAACAAGAAAGCAGTGGAGAGGAGGATAGTGACCTCTCACCTGAAGAACGAGAAAAAAAGCGACAATTTGAAATGAGAAGGACGCTTCACTACAATGAAGGACTCAATATCAAACTAGCTAGACAATTAATTTCAAAAGACCTACACGATGATGACAAAGTTGAAGAAATGTTAGAGACTGCACATGGAGAAAGCATGAATACGGAAGAATCAAATCAAGGATCTACTGCAAGTGACCAACAGCAAAATAAATCACGAAGTTCATAGAAGGGATTTGTTCAACACTCTTATTGTTTGTTAGATATGAACCCCGTTGCTATAATACATTGCTTCTCGTTCTCCACAAGTCATGACTTAAGTACCAAAGTGCATACCAGTTATTATATATTGCCAAGAATTAAATGAAAACCTTAAAGACTGATTAGACTGAAAATGCCTAATTGATATATATATTCTTGTGCCTAGTACTTTACCACAAATACGGTGTAATATCATCAGTCCAAAACTGTATTACTTTTGTAAAAATACTGGTTAATTTGTATATTATATAGCTTTTCATGCTTTAGAGGTTAAACAATATCTTTGGGGGGGAACTAATTTATTTTCATCACTCTAAATGTGGTGATAGCTCTTATAAAGTTTGTTGACTTTTTTTTTTTTAACCAAAAGCCAGTTGAACAACAGGATATGTATGCTGATAAATATTCAGGCTGAATAGTATTTTAACACTTGTCTTCAACTTGATTTGTCTGTTTAATTGAAAAGGATTGTGACCTCGCGCGGTGGCTCACGCCTGTAATCCCAGCACTTTGGGAGGCCGAGGCAGGTGGATCACGAGGTCAGGAGATCGAGACCATCCTGACTACCACGGTGAAACCCCGTCTCTACTAAAAAAAATACAAAAAACTAGCCAGGCATGGTGGCGGGCGCCTGTAGTTCCAGCTACTCGGGAGGCTGAGGAGGGAGAATGGCGTGAACCCGGGAGGCGGAGCTTGCAGTGAGCCGAGATTGTGCCACTGCACTCCAGCCTGGGCGACAGAGCGAGACTCCGTCTCAAAAAAAAAAAAAAAAAAAAAAAAAAAAAAAAAAAGAAAAGGATTGTAAGAGTTACTGTTACATTTTCTGGCCTACTACCTTTAAAATTCCTGTTGCATTTCTTTGTATTTACAAGGAAAAGACTGAACTTTTTCTCATCAAAACTAGCTTTTTTCTCACAGGTTAAACTTGCACCAATGTCTGCTCTTTTTTTTTAATGTTTTTGGTACTCTGGGCAGACTTCAGTTTTTTAAAAAATAAAGATTCTAATGCAGCTATCTTGGCATTCCCTTTAAATACCTGTCTTAACCTCCTACTTTTATTTCCTACTCCTTTCCACACACATGCATACAATCCTTTACCTTTTAAAGAATCATTAAGACTGTCACACATTAGGAACTCTTTCGCTCACTCTTCTGTCATTTGCTGCAATATTGAAATTCTTATTTTGACCATCAATGCCTATTAATTCTTCTAATACATGAAGAAAATGATTGAGTAGCAGCAGTACTATAGGTGGGAAATACAGTTTAACTGCTGAATTTTTATACCTCTCTGATTTATAGCTTGCTAATTAAATTGCTATTAATAGTTTGTTTGGCTTAATTAGACTTAAGAAAACAACAGGTTTTTTTTTTTGAGGTTTTTTTTTTTTTTTTTTGCATGAGGAGAGAATTGTATGTAACCAGTGATATGATTATTCCTGAATGTACAGACAGAAGTAAGCCTGGACATTGTTTAATTTAAAAACTTTAGTCCCTGCTTTAAGGGAATATGATAATGTATACTATGACAAATGTACTTTATTCTTCTAACACAGTAAGAATTACTTGGAACTTTTTCCTGAAACTAAGTGCAGGAAAGCCCTGTGTGTCTTGGTTTAGTGATGGTTTCATTTCTAGCCATACAACTGATGGATTGTATACAATTTTTGTTAGTGCCAAAATAATCTGTTATATGAACAGACTTCTAAAATAATTTCTGTATATTATATATGTAAGAAGGCTTTTATTGAACAGCTTATTTTCCACTTGCAAGTTTATGGAAATATCAATATGTCAAAATAAAAAGTGGGACAATTCTTTGCTGTTAGAAGAATGTGCTTATTATTTTGATTTCTTAAATGGTACATAATCAAAGTACTGCTGAACTATAGGTGCAGTATTCTACTAAACATTTCAGCTAGTAATACCACTGATTTAGAAACAAAACTGTTTATTTTTGCTTTCTGAATTTAGAATGCTGGGATTACCTGTTTAAATATGTTTTAGGGAATATAGAGATTAAATCTGTACATACCTGTGCACATATATTCATGCACCCTCTGATTTTGGTTTTCTCGTTTTTGAGTTCTTAGAAAGTATCCACATACTCTTCTTTTAGTAGAAGTAGCTGTTTTAGAGAGAAGAAAAGGATGAGACTTTAAATAGTTGATTCTTTTTGTGTTTTCTACAAACTTTTTTGAATTTTAAATCACAAGCAAACTAATTTTCTGGTTTTTAGAAAGTAGATGATGATTTCAGAGGAGTAAGACATGCCAAACAGCGTGCTCGGTAGGATTTTAGGTAGTCAAATGCAGCTGAGAAAAAGTATTTTCAAGTCATAAGTTGCTAATTGATATGCTATGAACTAGTCAAAATAGGAACCATATGATTCATGTTAGATTTTCCTCTAGAGATGGATCTGAATGTTCAGTTCCAGCCAAGGTAGATTTTACTTTCAACTTTTTAATCAATATCACTTTCTGTGCTTAATCTCTTTGGTGTTACCTTGTCCATTTTCATTTGTCTAAAATTCTGCAGGGATGACTACAATTTGGCATAATGGTATAAATGAATTGTTAAGGGTAACTTTAAGTTGAAGATTAAAGCAAGATGCCATTTTCCCCATGTCTTTCATTTTGTTTACATTTTTTCCCTTTAAGTTAGTATACACTACACATACTACAATAAAATATAATAATATGAAAAAAGAATATTTTAGATATTCTAGTCCCTTTGCCTTTCCATGTAAATTTTAGAGTAATCCTACCTATAATTAACAAATCTTGCAAAGATTTTGATTGGAATTGTGTTAAACTTGTATATTGGTTTGGGGAGAATTGACATATTTACTATATTGAATCTTCCAATCCATGAACAGTATTTCTCTCCACATAGATAGAGACTGAATAGATCTTCTTTGATATCATTCACCAGCATTACATAGTTTTTAGCTTGCAAGTCTTGCATGTTTTGTTAGATTTACACATAAGTGTTTCATGTATTTGAGTAATTGTAAATAATATATTTATATTTTTGGGCCAGGCGCGGTGGCTCACGCCTGTAATCCCAGCACTTTGGGAGGCCAAGGTGGGCGGATCACAAGGTCAGGAGATCGAGACCATCCTGGCTAACACGGTGAAACCCCGTCTCTACTAAAAATACAAAAAATTAGCCGGGCATGGTGGTAGGCGTCTGTAGTCCCAGCTACTCCGGAGGCAGGAGAATGGCGTGAACCCCGGAGGCGGAGCTTGTGGTGAGCCGAGATCGTGCCACTGCACTCCAGCCTGGGCGACAGAGTGAGACTCCGTCTCAAAAAAAAAAGAAAAAAAGAAAAAAAATATATATATATATATGTATCATTTGTTCATTGTGAGTATGTAGAAATACAATTGATACTGGTTTATCCTGTATTCTGTTAATTTGCTGAAATCACATATCTAGAAGTTTTTCTGTAGCTTCCTTGTGATTTTCTACATAGACAATCATGTCACTTACAAATGGGAGCTGTTTATTTCTTACTTCACAATCTGTATGCCTTTAATCTCCTTTTTCATGCCTATTGCACTGTCTAGAACTTCCAACACTGTGAATAAGAGTGGTGAGAGTGGACATTCTTGCCTTGTTCCTGATTTTAGGTAGAAACTATTCAGTCTTTCAGAATCAAGTATGTTCACCATAGGATTTTTGTAGACGATCTTTATCAAGTAAAGAAAGATCTCCTCTACTCCTATATTTCTGAGATTAAAAAAAAATAATGAATGGGTGTTAAAGTGGGTTAAATACTTTTTCTTCATCAATTGATATGAACAAGTAAATTTTCCTCTTCAGCCTATAATATGATGGATTACATTAATTAATTGTGAATATCCAACCAGCTTTGCATCCCTGGGATAACTCTCACGTGGTCATTGTATATAATTCTTTTTATATGTTGGTAAATTCCACTTGCTAATATTTTGTTAAAGATTGCTGCATCATGAGAAATATTAGTCTACAGTTTTCTTTTCTTCCCATTGTCATTGTTTGGTTTTGGTATTGAGGTAATTCTAGCTTTATAAAATAAACTGGGAAATGCTTCCTCTGCTTCTATTTTCTGGAAGAGATTAATTGGTGTTAATTCTTCTTTAAATCTTTGGTAGAATTCTTCATTGAAACTATTTGTTCCTAAATATTTCCTTTTGTGAGTTTTTAAATTATGAATTCAATTTCCTCAATAGGTGTAGACATTTTTGAATTATTTTATATTTAGTGAGTTGTGGCACTTTATATTTTTTGAGAAAATGATCCATTTAATTTAAGTGTCAAATTTATGTGTGTAGAATTGTTCATAGTATTCTTTTGTTATCCTTTTGATGTCTGTAGAATCTTTGATGATATCCCATTTCATTTCTGATGTTGGTAGCTTCTATCTTCTGTCGTCTTTTTTTCTGAGTCTTGCTAGTGGTTTGCCAATTTTATTAATCTTTCAAAGAGCCAGCTCTTTGCTTCATTGATTTTTTTTTTGCTTTTGTTTTTCTGTTTTCAGTTTCATTGTTCTGCTTGCTTTTTATTTTGTTATTCTTTTACTAGATTCTTGAGGTGAGAGTTTAGATTATTGGTTTGAGACTTTTCCTCTTTTCCAATGTATGCAGTTAGTGCTTTAAATTTACTTCTCAAATGCAAATCAAAACCACAATGAAATGCCATCTCACGCCAGTCAGAATGGTGATTATTAAAACTCAAGAAACAACAGATGCTGACAAGGTTGTGGAGAAATAGAAATGCTTTTACATTGTTGATGGAATGTAAATTAGTTCAACCATTGTGGAAGACAGTGTGGCAATTCCTCAAAGATCTAGAACCAGAAATACCATTTGACCCAGCAATCCCATTACTGAGTATATACCCAAAGGAATACAAATCATTCTATTATAAAGATACATGCACTTGTATGTTCATTGCAGTACTATTCACAATAGCAAAGACATGGAATCAACCCAACTGCCCATCAATGACAGACTGGATAAGGAAAATGTACATATGCACCATGGAATACTATACAGCCATAAAAAGGAATGAGATCCTGTTATTTGCAGAGACATGGATGAAGCTGGAAGCCATTATCCTCATCAAACTAATGCAGGAACAGAAAACCAAACACCACATGTTCTCACTTATAAGTGGGAGCTGAACAATGAGAACACAAGGACACAGGGAGGGGAAAAACACACACTGGGGTCTGTCTGGGGCGAGGTTGGAGGGAGGGAGAGCATCAGGAAAAATAGCTAATGCATGCTTGTCTTAATACCTAGGTGATGGGTTGATATGTGCAGCAAACCACCATGGCACATGTTTACCTATGTAACAAACCTGCACATCCTGTACATGTATCCTGGAACTTAAATTTACCTCTTATAACTACTATAACTGTATCCCACAAATTCTGATATGGCATATTTTCATTTTTGTTTAGTTGTGTTTATTGTGTGTATTTTTAAAAAATTTCCTTGAGACTTCCTCCTTGACCCATGTATTTCTAAGTGTGTTGTTTTGTCTCCAAATGTTTAGATATTTTCCTGTTGTTGATTTCTGGTTTGGTTCCATTGTGGTAGGAGAACACTTTCTTTATGATTTTATTTAAAAAATTTGTTGGTCTTTTATTGTCTTAGATATGGTCTATCTTGGCATATATTCTGTGGGCACTTAAAAAAATGTTATTCTGGCTGGGTGCAGTGGCTCATGCCTGCAATCCCAGCACTTTGGGAGGCTGAGGTGGGTGGATCACCTGAGGTCAGGAGTTTGAGACCAGCCTGATCAACATGGTGAAACCTCATCTATACAAAAAATAAATAAATAAATAAATAAATAAATAAATAAAAAATTAGCCAGGCATGGTGGTGTGTGCCTGTAATCTCAGCTACTCAGGAGGCTGAGGCAGGAGAATTGCTTGAACCTGGGAGGCAGAGGTTGCAATGAGCCGAGATTGTGCCATTGCACTCCAGTGTGGGCAATAAGAGTGAAACTCCATCTCAAAAAAAAAAAAAAAAAAGTGTATTCTGCCATGGAATACTATGCAGCCATAAAAATAATGAGATCACGTCTTTTGCAGGGACATGGATGGAGCTGGAGGCCATTATCCTTAGCAAACTATTGCAGGTACAGAAAACCAAATACTGCATGTTCTCATAAGTGGGGGCTAAATGATGGACACATGGACACAAAGAGGAAAAACACATACTGGGGCCTATTGGAGGGTGGAGGTTGGGAGGAGGCAGAGGGTCAGGAAAAATAACTAATGGGTACTAGACTTAATTCCTGGATGATGAAATAATCTGTACAACAAACCTCCATGACACTGTTTACCTATGTAACAGACCTGCACATGTACCCCTGAACTTAAAATAAAAGGAAAAAAAAGAAAAAAGAAAAAGGAAAATCTCGTGGAATCTACTAAAAGCAACGAAAAAGAAAATAATGTATCTTCTGTTGTTGGGTGGTGTGTTCTATAAATGTTGATTAGATCTTATGGTTTGATGTTGTTTATTCTTCTATGTTTTTTCTCAATTTTTGTCTATTTGTTTAATCAATTGTTGAGAGAAAACTATTGAAGTCTTCAACTATCATTGTTGACTTGCCTATTTTCTTTTCAGTTCTATCAGTTTTTGCTTTACATAATTTGCAGCCCTGTTGTTTGGTGCATACATATTTAAGATTGCTATGTCTTTTTGGTAGATTTACCCTTTTATTATTACATAGTGTTCCTATCCATTTCTAGTAATTTTCTTTGTTCTAAGTTTATTTGATATTAATATAGCCTCCCTTTATTATTTTTTGTCTGATATATGTTTTTCTATCCTTTAACTTATAAACCGCCTATATCATTATATTTGAAGTGAGTTTATCATAAACAGCAAATAATTGAGTCTTTTTTTTTTTTTTTTTGAGACGGAGTCTCGCTCTGTTGCCCAGGCTGGAGTGCAGCGGTGTGAAGTGGTGTGATCTCAGCTCACTGCAACCTCCACCTCCCGGGTTCAAGAGATTCTCCTGCTTCAGCCTCCCGAGTAGCTGGGGCTACAGGCTTGTGCCACCACAGCTGGCTAATTTTTGTACCTTTAGTAAAGATGGAGTTTCACCATGTTAGCCAGGATGGTCATCTCCTGACCTTGTGATCCACCTGCCTTGGCCTCCCAAAGTGTTGGGATTACAGGCGTGAGCCACCGCACCTGACAGAGTCATATTTTTAAATCTATTCTGCCAAGCTCTGTCTCTTAAAATTGATGTATTTAGGCGATTTATATTTCCTATAATATTGTTATGTCCAGGCTTAAGTCTGACATTTTATTTTTTGTTTTCTGTTTGTTCTCTCTGTTTTTCATTTCTTTGTTTTCTTTTTCATTGCTTCCTAAATAATTTTAAAATTCCATTTTAATTTATCTATAGCTGTGTGTGTGTATGTGTGTGTACCTCTTTGGATAGCTCTTTTAGTGGTTGTTCTAGGTATTACATTATATTTATGTAACTTATTTATTGTCATTAATTACCAGTCTGAGTGATGTGTAGAAATTTCTTCTCTCTTTGTTTACCCTCCCTCATTTATAATTGCCTGTAATATTTTCTCTATATACATTTATAACCATATGATACAGTATTATACGTTTTTCTTCAATCCTATAATTTAAATAACTCAAGAGAAGAAGTAAAGTCCATTTTTTAACCCATATTTTTTCTTGCCATGTTCTTTCTTCCTTCCTGATGTTCCAACTGTCCTCAATTTAACTTTTTGTTTTTTTAGGGTAGACCTGTTAGTGACAAATTCTGTTAGTTTTCCCTCATCTCTGTATGTCTTAATTTCCCTGGATATTTTTGCTGATATAGTGTTCTAAGTTGATATTTTTTTTTCCTTTCAGCACTGGAAAAAGGTGGTGACCTCCTTCGGGCTTACACAGTTTCTGATGAAAATTTTGCTCTGTCATTTTTTTCACCTGTTAGATGTCATTTATCTCACTGCTTTCAAGATTCTTTTTATCTTTAATTTTTAGTTAATTACTATGATTTTGGTGTGGCTTTCTTTGGGTTTGTCCTATTTGGGGTTCACTCACCTTCTTAAATCACTAGGTTTATGTCTTCTGCCAAATTTGGGAAGTTTTCAACCATATTTATTTGATAATTTTTTTCAGCTTCACTCTCTTTTTCCTCTCATTTTGGGACTCTGAGTACATGAACATTAAATCTTTTGTTATAGCCCCATGGGTCCCTGAGGCTTTGTCCATTTTTTCCAGTGTATTTTCTTTCTTTCTTTTGTTCAGATTAAGTGATTGCTATTGCTGTGTCTTCAAGGTAGCTAATTCTTTCCTCTGTTCTCTCCTTCTGCTGCTGAGCTTATTTACTGGGCTTTTTATTTTGGCTATTGCACTTTTCAGTTCTAAAATTTCCACGTTTTCTTCCGTATATATCCTATTTTTATGCTGAAACATCCTATTTTTTTCTTTTCTGCTCTTTTCTTCTTCTTTCTTTTTTTAAACCACTGAACTGGACATCCTATTTTTTTCATTCTTTTAAGTGTTAATTGCTCATCAAAGCATTTTAATAATGGTGGCTTTAAAATCTTCATCAGGCTTTTCTTTCCGTTTTGGCATCTATTTTATTGTCTTTTAAAAATTCAATTTGAGATATTCCTGGTTCCTGATATGACAAATAATTTCCAATTGAAACTTGGACATTTCAGGCATTATGTTATAAGGCTATTGGTCTTATTTAAACTGTTTTAGCTGGCTTCTTTTAACACCTCTCCAGCAGGTAGGCAGGTGAGCTTCATGACGCCAGGTAGGGGTAGGAGTCCAGGCTTCTCACTCTGCCTTCATTGACACCTCAGATAGGTCCCCATTATTACTGAGTGGGGACAGAAATTCTGGCTCCCTATTAGGTGCCCACTAATACCTCCCTGGTTGGTTGGGAGAGGAGTGCCACTTACTATCCCTCACATGACCTTTATTGACACCAAGATGGGACAGTGGAGTGGAGGAGTGAGTGGTAGGTATCAGGGAGTGGTTGCTGGATTAACTCTGGGTGGTGATGAAAATCCTGACTCTCCATTAGGCATTGTCTGACATCACCCTAGAGGAGAGGGGAAGAGATGCTTCATTACTGTTGGGTGAGGAATGGAAGTCTAGGTTTCCATTGACATTTCAGGGGCTTGGGGAAAGGAGTACATTTTCACCAAGAGGGCATGACCATCCTGACTCCCTATTCACTTTCTCTGACACCATCCTGGTGTGTGTGCATGTGTGTGTTGAAGTGTTGGGTTCCTTATGACAGCCTGGTGAGGGTGAAAGTCTAGGCTCCTCATTTGACCTTAGCTGGTGGGGGTGGAGTCGCAGTTTTTTCTGTGGTGTTTGGCTGGCCCCATTACCCAAGATGGAGTGTAGTGGTGCGATCATAGCTCACTGTAACCTCGAACTCCTGGGCTCAAGTGATCCTCCTGCCTCAGCCTTCAGAGTATCTAGGACTATGACACATCGAACTATGCCTGACTAATTTTATTATTATTATTCATAGAGACAGGGTCTCATTATGTTGCCCAGGGCTGGTCTTGAACTCCTGGCCTCAAGCGATCCTCCTGCCTGGCCTCCTTCCCAAAATTACTTTAAATGATATAATAGCTGACAGCTTGAATAGGTCCTCTTTATTTTGTTGGAGGCAGAGTGTTAGAAGTGACCTAACAAAAAGGATTTGTTTCTTGTCACTAGACTCATTCACTGTGTCAATGAGTGTGTCAGTGGTTTGTGGGAAGCAAACTTAAATGAAAATGTATATTTTTAATTAAATGTTATGAGATGCTTTTTTTAAACTATTGGCTCTTGTGAATTTCAGAAAAATATTGCAAGTCATTTGACTTAGCTACTTAGCTTGCACTCTATGTAAAAATTTTAGAATTTTACCTCTTTGAAAAACTCCTAATATCAATAGTGATATTGTTGTTTTGCAGCCTCAAATGATTTTGTTACTTTGGACTAATTTTCACTGAGCTAGTTAATAAGTGACTTTTTATTGTCTAAAAAATTCTTAAGTGTATCATAGAGAGAAAGATTATTGGGTCACTAAGTGGCTTTCTATATATATACCTTTGTCCATATTTAATTTTTGCAAAACTCAAATTAAGGTGGTAAACTTAGTGTGGATATACATTCATGTATTGTATTGATAAGATTAACTACGTTTTAAAACTAAAGTGGAAAGTTTTAAACAAAATTGTCATTCAACTATATATGTATTTCTGTAAAACACACACGTAATGATGAATTCGAATTAATAAGCAAAAAAGGAGAGGATTTGTAATTTAAAATTGATCTTGGAATATACACTCTACACTTAAAGACAGAGAAAAAACTTTTTCTTTCCCTTTAGCATAATCTGCCCAGCTAGCGGTGGTTTCTTATCAGAATGCTCTCACTTAATACCTTGATAACTTTTAGTGCTTTGTGCTGATAGCATCCATTTGCTTCTGAAACACCTAAAGTTTCTTATAATTGTTACCTTCTTTATGTTTATTTTCAAATGTTTTATTGTCACTCTGGTTATTGAGATATCAAAGTTATAACAATTGCTCACTCTCAGGTACCTATGCACTTAAGTGACCAGTTTCTCTGAAAATTCTTTTTTGTTGTTGCCTTCTTCCAACCTCATACCCTGAATTCAGAATACTAACACTGTCAAGCTATTTTTCACGCCCCCAAATCTTTGTTTTTTCTCACTAGACAGCCACTACCCATTTGGCCACTAGGTGGCGCAAAAGGCTTAATTTTTCACCTTCCTCCGCCTACTGTGAAGGAAGCTAAAAGTAATTAGATGTGTTTGGCATGATTTTTATATTTTAAATTAACGCTGTACTATCAAAAGAACTACCTGTGTCTCAAACCCACAATGTGGTAAAAGCTGACAAATAAAAAACAGTAGCTCAATTTTCTAGATTAATTTTGTCCAGGTTAAAAATATTATTGATATATGTTTTAGTGACCACATAGGTTTCAGTAAGGGTAAAAGGATGCTCTTGTTCGTACTCCAAGTCTGGCATGGTGACTGTCAATACATTCATTTTGAAGAAGATTTTGCTTCTGGGTTTAGCCCTAAAACAGGCCAAATAGAGACGATAAAATGAGTGGAACTGAATTAGAGCATTTCTGAAAAGTTTTATTTGGTTAATTCTGCCCCTTAAGGTCAGAAATTGTGTAGGAAAAGTGTTTCAAAATTATAAATAAGGCAAAATTGTACGTGCTTGATTATTTTATATCACACTTGAACCTTTGCTCATAATTCTGCCTGATCAAAACCAGAGTGTTTCAGGGATTGTAATTTGCCTAAGACGAACCCGGCCAGCCCTGTGCGATTAGAGGTTAATCAGCAGAGAGCTGATAAGGGATGCTGGCTTTCTCTTTTTCTCCGGTAAAGAAGATAACACCAAGGTTATGATTTTATTGCCCTCTAGCACGTTAGCCATTTTGAATCTCTAGCCTAGAAATTATTTCCTCACAGAGAGATACAGCTCTGTTTTTCAAATACTCTTTGGATCAAGGCTCTTGTATTCTTGCTGGTTCCCTCTTTGAGTTTGATAAAACTTTGAAAAGTCTACCAAAGAAATTTCTCTCAGAACTAGACTTTAGAGAGGAAATGCTGGAACTACGGATGAGAGGCACATGTATGTACAGGGTCAGACCACGCAGAGAGCAGGTCTGATGAGCCACACCACTGCTGCTGCCCCATGGCTTCTAGACGCTGCTGTTGGTTCTGTTGTTAGGACCTGGAGGTTGCTGCAGCCACCACTGAAGACACCTCCTAAACCACTTCTGTTTCAGGAACTTCACTTAAAAAAAAAAAAAAAAAAAGGAAAAAACCCACCGCTTCCCCAAAAGACAGTTGCTTCTTCTGTCACCTTTGCCAGAGAAATAAATACAGTAAAAGGTGCTCTGCAACCCCCACACCCTGGTTCCTCCTGTGGCCCCTTTGTAACTGAAGTCTTAGGTGGATGAATTTAATTGGTGGAACTTAGGTGCTCTAGCTTCAAAGAAGGCTAGGGGAAGTGAGCTTTCTGGTTTCCACTTTAGGGAGGCAGGACTCAAAAGGTAGGGGAAATTTCACAGTACTCTAAAGGTGTTCAAATCCCATGGGCAGCCAGTAAACATCACAGGTGTGAGGTGCTGGGTGGAGTGGCTGCCGTGAATATGTGTTTTGGTTCATGGACTACATCAGTGGCTCTTAAAGTCCAGTAATTCACAGATTCATGAGAGATAATAAAATGATTATTTTTGTTTTAAGCCATTAAGTTTGGAGTTGGTGTGCTGCCCAGCAATAGATAATGGAAACATACAGTATGTATTTCTGCAAGTCTGGCTTCTTCACTTAATATTGTTTCTATGAGATTCGTCCATGTTGTTACATTTTCAGTAGTTGATGAAGTTTCATTGTTTACATAGTACTGTGTTGCACGAATAGACTACGTTTTGTTTATCCATTTACTGTTGAAGAACCATTTTGTTAAACAATTTGAGAGTAATCTGTGGAAATTATGCCACTTGACCCCTAAATATTTTGTCATGTATAATTTAAGAATAAGGACATTTCTCCTGCAAAACCCTAATACTGTCATCACCCCCAAGATACTTAAAATTGATACCATATTATCAAACACACAATCCATATTAAAAAATCCCCTATTGTCCCAGTAACACCTTATAGTAAATGTCTGTTATTTTAAGCGGGTGTCATTCATTACATGGCAATAGGTAACTAATACGGTGAGTCTGCTTCTTCCAGCAAGGACCCTCAGGGGGTGCGGTGATTCATAGTTCTCACTCAGACTTCTCTGTGTCTGCTCATATGTCCCTATTTCATATCTCAGGGTCCGGTCTATCCCAACCAGGGGTCTTGCCTTATCACAACAGCTGCTGTTGGATGATGCAACAAACATTTCTACAACTTCATAACCTTTATCATAAGCCCCCGGGCTTGACCCTCAGCCATATCTGTGCTGGGTTGCAGGAGAAAAGATAGCCTTTAAAACTGCTATAGAGGCATTTACAGTTTTTCATTCATGTCTTGAGTTTGGATTAAAGGCTTTTAATTTGTCTTTTTTTCCTTTGTATGCTCTTGAGGGCAGTCTGACGCAGCCAGTCTCTGAAGGTTGGCACAAAAGCCTCCATCGAGTCACCCAGCTTTTGCCTGGTACCTATCCTAACCTAAAACCTTGCCACATGTTACCTTGGCGAAAGGCCAGTGCCACACTTCAGTGATGATTCGGCTGTCCTACTTGGTTAGAACCGAGTTCACTTCCTTCCTCAACACTCCTGCCACATTGATCTGGAAGTTTCACCTTGAGCCAAGTGATAGTTAATTTTATGTGTTAACTTGGCTAGGCTATGGTTTCTAGACATTTGAATACCAGTCTAGATATTGCAGTGAAGGTATTTTTTAGATGAGATTTACATTTAAATCAATAGATTTTGGGTAAAGCAGATTACCCTCCATAATGTAAGTGGCCCTTCCAATCAGTTGAAGGTCTTAGGGGCAAAGACTGAGGTCCTCCAAGGAAGAGGGAATTCTGCCTCTGGACCACCTTCAGACTCAAGCCGCAACATCAGCTCTTCCTGGGTCTCCAGCCTACCTGCAGATTTCGACCGTGCCAGCTCCCACAGTAGTATGAGCCAATTACTTAAAATAAATCTCTCTCTGCCAACATCCTATTGGTTCTGCTTCTCTGGAGAATCCCGACTCATACAAGCCACTTTCTATAGAAGGCTGTTTCTTCGAGAAATCCACCCTCTTCTATGTCAACAGAGTTTAGAATCTCCATACTTTATCTCTTCATTTTTGAGAACATAAATTCTGTATTACACATACTTATACTATACTATATATGAAACTTTCATAAACATTGCTGGGCAAAGTTGAATATTGCTGAACCAATTTCCGATGCTTCTGAATAAGTTCAATGGAGTTAAAACATTTTTCTTCTTACATGGTATGTCCAGTGCCCCAGAGCCAGCAGAGTTAAGAACTTGGTAAGGAAGACCAAAGATAATCCATATATTCTAGTTTGTTATATAATATAAAACATGTTTATTAGATTCTAAAAGACATAAAAAGAAAATAATACATATGTATCAGTGAGAGAGGTGCAAATTAGGAAGAGAACTAAGGATTATTCTTAATTCCTGCCTTCCTTTCTAAATCCCAATCCTCAATTGAACTCTTTAATTATATTTCCTGTTTATTTTGTTGAATGGAAAAAATGGAAAATTATCTAACATTTGTCATGGAAATATAGGAGAAATTACTCTCAGAGATATGATGTTATTTAAGTCATTGACATATTGTTAACCTCAGATGCAAATGGTGGAATTAATAATATTCCTCAGTTCATGGTACATAGTCACTGTTGGTCTAGTGCTAGTTTGTAGTTGTATTTGTATTTTTTATTTTTTAGAAATACGGTCTTCCTTTGTCACCCAGGCTGGAGTGCAGTGGTGTGATCACAGCTCACAGTAAGCTCAAACTCCTGGGCTCAAGCAATCTTCCTGCCTTGGCCTCCCAAGTAGGTAGGACTACAGGTGCATGCCACCATGCCAGCTAATTAAAATGTTTTAAATTTATTTTTGGTAAATGGGGTCTTGTTATGTTGCCCATAGGCTTTAGTGCTATGATAAGCTAGTAATTATAGTGAACATTCTTGTCTTGGATACCCAAGGTTTTTCCGTTATGTATACTAGTGGTTACAGATTTTTTGGATTATAACCTTTGCCAAAATAGGAAAGTTTTGATTCCTGCTTCCTTAACTGTTTTTCAAAAATCACAAATGGATATACTTTACCAAATGTCTTTTATTAATAGACTGAGCAAAGGAAATGACTTTTCTATGAATATGGTAAATTATAGCAACAATATGTTTTATTATATTGAACCACCCTAGTATTCCAAGGATTCCCTATTTGATCTTGATGTATCATTATTAGCATAATCATTATTATTATTGTTATTATTATACATATTTTTAGAGACAGGGCCTTGCTCTGTTGCACAGGCCGAAATGCAGTGGTGCAATCATAGCTTACTGCAGCCTCAAACTCCTGGGCTCAAATGATCTTCCTGCCTCAGCCTCCCTAGTAGCTGAGACTACAGGTGCTCACCATCACACCTGGCTAATTTTTTAATTTTTTGTAGAGACAGGATCTCACAGGATCTCAGTATGTTGACAATGCTGGTCTTGAACTCCTGGCCTCAGGCAATCCTCCCACCTCGGCCTCCCAGTATTATTATTTGTAATATTGTTGAATTCGGTTCATAAATAATTATTTTTTTCTCCCATCTGTGTTCAAGGTGAAATGGGTCTATTATTTTTTTTTCCTTGAGTTTTCCACAACTCAATTTGGAGTCAAGATTACACTCGGCTGATAAAATTAGCTAATCAGGTTTAGTTTTTTTCTGTTTTCTGGAAAAAGTATATAATATAGAAGTTTCATGTTCCTTGAATGTTTGATAGAACTCATCTGTGAAACCATCTGGGCATTTTCAAAAATATATTTTTTTATTAGATGCCATTGATAACTTTAAAAATTGCTTTAATACTCATTGGTATAGTCAAGTTTTGTATTTCTTTTTGTGCTAATTTTGATAGATTAAATGTTTCTAGGAATTTGCTTATCTCACCTAGGTTTTCAAATTTATTAGCATATACTTGTTCATAACACTCTATGCTTTATATCTGTGTCATATCTGTAGCTGTTCCCCCTTTTTCATTATGTATTTGTTTATTCATTTTTTCTCCCTTTATCCATAATCGGCCTTGTTGTAACTCTGAATATCTTACAAATATTTTTAAGTAAGCAGCTTTTGGAATCAAAAGTATGTTAATTTTCACTACCTAGTTTTTTGTTCTCTATTTCTGTTTCATTGCTTTCTATTCTTATCTTTATAACTCCTTTTCTTCGTATTTCTTTAGGTTTGCTCAACTTCTCTTTTTCCAAATTTTTGAGTAGAATTTCTAGGTCCTTTATTTTAACTTTTCTTGTTCTAATAAATGTATTTGAAATTATAATATTATTTTATATGTATATTTTATGTGTAACATTTTTAACACCTGGTTCTAAAAGAGTTAATTTTCTTTATAACTGCTGTTTATTTATTTGACACAGGGTCCCACTCTATTGCTGAGGCTGGAGTGCAGTGACGCAATCATGCCTCACTGCAGCCTCCATCTTCTGGACTCCAGCGATGCTCCCATCCACGACTGCCTTTTAAATCCATGTTACTGATAAATATATTTGTTCACTTACAATTTTAAGTATATTTTAGTTATCAAGTTCTAATTTTATTACAGTATGGTTGCAGAATATAGTTTCTTTCTTTCTTTTTCTTTTTTTTTTTTTTTTTTTTTAAGACAGTGTCTTACTCTGTTGCCCAGGCTGGAGGGCAGTGGCACAATCTCAGCTCACTGCAACCTCTGCCTCCTGGGTTCAAGCGATCCTCCCGTCTAGCCTTCTGACTAGTTGGGATTACAGGTGCACCCCATCCAGCTAAATTTTTTGTAGAGACGGGGTTTTGCCATGTTGCCCAGGCTGGTCTCAAACTCCTGGGCTCTAGGGATCTGCCCACCTTGACCTCCCAAAATGTTGGGATTACAGGCATGAGCCACTGCTCCTGGCCTAGAATATAGATAGTTTCTAAGATACCGATACTCTGGAATTTATTGGCGTTACCTTTATGGAATGATGCATGTCCTATTTGAGTAAATGTTCTGTGTGGCTTGAACTATTATATATAATTTTTGGTTTTCTGGCAACTTTTAAAAAATGAATTTTATGAATCTTGTACCTCATTTTATTTCCTTCTTTGCTTTCACTATCCTATGGCCTGGAGCCAATTATTTTTTATCCATTTATAGTTGGCTGATAAATATGTGTCCTGTTAAACCGGCTCTCTGAAGAAAAACAATGCTTCTGACTTGTAGCATTGCTGATTTCTATAGTATAAATACTTCCATAGTGGTCAATATCAAGTTACCAATAGTTAACAACTGTCTTCAAAAATCCTGAATACTTTGCAATCTGCTCTTGCTAGCCAGTATAAGACAGCGCACCACTTTTTTTTTTTTTTTAAGATATTCACGTTGTCCATTAGTTTCCATTAGTTTCACTCCTTGGCTTCACTTACTTTTCTTAACCATATTTTCTCTCTGACCCAGTGTTGTTTTCTTCTTTTAAAAATTGTTTTAAATTATCTCTGTAAGCTGCTACAAACCTTTTATTGGAATGAAGGGCATTAGAACAGTTATTTGGCCAATACAGAAAAATGAAGTCTTCTAATTTTTTTTTTTTTTTTTTTTTTGAGATGGAATTTCTCTCTTGTCGTCCAGGTGGAGTGCAATGGCGCAATCTTGGCTCACTGCCACCTTTGCCTCCCGGGTTCAAGCGATTCTCCCTGCCTCAGCCTCCCGAGTAGCTGGGATTACAGGCACCATGCCCAGCTAATTTTTGTATTTTAAGTAGAGATGAGGTTTCACCATGTTGGCCAGACTGGTCACGAACTCCTGACCTCAGGTGAACCACCCGCCTTGGCCTCCCAAAGTGCTGGAATTACAGGCATGAGCCACCGCGCCTGGCCGAAGTCTTCCAATTTTAAAAGATCTAATCTTCATTCAGTTCTCAAAGTCTTTGCTGTGCCCTTAAGGCATGTCACACGCATGTGCAGCTCAGGGGTAACCTGGTACTCCTGAGGGTTCAGACTCAGAATTAGGGAATTTCCGCCAGTACTCTCAGTTTGGAGATTCCCCTACACATTCCTGCCCGCAGGGGCCCTTTTTCTTCATTCCTCTGGCCAGAAAGCCGGTATTTCTCTTGTTAACTCAGGGCTTGTGCTACCACGCAGTGCAGCTCTGCACCTGAGGCCTGACGTCAGGGCAGAGCTGGGAGGAAAAAAGGGGAAAACATTGAAAACCCACTCCCCAGGAGGGGCCCCTCTCCCAGTTTTGACCCTCTTCACAATCCACCTGCTTTTGTTTACTTTTTGGAGTCCTTGAGTACTTGCTTTTTGTATACTGCCCAGAATTTCTACTTGTGATCAGTGGGAAAAATGGGCTATTTAAAATCTCAAATAAGTTAAATATCATGGCTAGAAACAACTCCAGGCATTTGTAATTTTAGATTTTTTTCTTTACACTCCAGGGGGATGTGATTGTTTTAGAGTTTTGAATTCGTATGTTTAGCCTGAGATCCTACTAGTATTTCTGTTGAATATGCCTGTTGACTGCCCACTTGTTAGCAAAATGGCATTGAATGTTGGAACTGTAAACTACCTTAGAAATCATTCAGCACCATCTTTTGACAGAAAAGGATATGAGAGTTCACTCCTGTCACTCAGGAAGTGCAAGGCAAAGATAGAAGCAGAATTAAATTTGTTTTAATACAGTTACTCAGCCATCTGGTAACAGTTTCCTAAGTGCCAACGAATGTATGGGGCTATTTATTGCAGATTTTAAGATGATATATGGGGATTGAGGGAATGAGAAGTTTTAGGGAGTGGTAGAGGAAGGGCATATAATAAGACTGAATCCCAGATCCCAGCCTCAGAACTTATTTTGTGACCTTGGTCAAGTGATTTAATCTTTCCAAACCTCTATGTGTCCTATAGAAGTAATAATAATACCTATATAGGGTTGGGTGTTTTTTTTGTTTGTTTTTTCTTTTTCTTTTCTTTTTTTTTTCTTAAGATAGGGTCTTTCTCTGTCACCCACGCTAGAGTGCAGTGGCGCAATCACAGCTCACTGTAGCCTCAAACTCCCAGGCCTAAGCGATCCTCCCACTCAGCCTCCCAGGCAGCTGGGACTACAGGCATGCACCACCGCACCCGACTAATTTTTAAATTTTTTTGTAGAGATGGGGTTCTCACTATGTTGCCCAGGCTGGTCACTAACTCCTGGGCTCAAGCAATCCTCCCGCCTTGACCTCCCAAAGTGCTGGGATTACAGGTGTGAATACAGGGGGTTTTTTGGTTTGAATTTTAAGAGATAAAATTTATAAAACATTTAGCCAATGCCACAAATGTAGCTTCTTTTGGTTATTGTCATTATTCTTTGAAATTCACAAGTGCCCCAAAATATTTAAGCATTTTTCATGTATTGCCCTTTAATATGAATGAATGCATTATGAAAGGAATTCTTTTACATGCGAGTTTGCTGATAGTCTTAGCTAATTCTCATGTGTGTAGGTGTCTTGCCTATCTGTCAGTCTTAGCCTTAAAGGAAAGAGTCCCATCACCTCACTTGCGGCCTCATCATCATGGACCGCATGATGATGCGGAATGAGAATTTTTATTGTTTGTACTACTTCAAAATCATTCAGTACGTGATCACCTGTCATGTATAGGGCTCTTTATATTTCTAGTTTAGTCCCTTTTGTTTTCTCTAGGAAAGATGTTTTAGACCTGGGACAAAAGAAGAAAGAGTGTATGCTGACATCTAGGAGGGAAGCACCCACCTCCCCTAAGCTCCATCTCCCTGAGCACTCATTTCCCAATGACCATACCAGGTTTTGGCCCTAGAGAGTTTATTACAAAATAAGAAAGAGAAGTCTGGGGAAGGTTCACTCATCATAGAATTTTGGCAGTTCATTGCCCAAGATGACTCGATGGTCCACACCGGCAGCTGTAATAGTGACCAGGTAGATGACACCCCCGCTTGAGCCATCCCGGCTCATGGCCAGAGCAATAGCTGCAGAGGGTTTCAAGTTGGAGAGAGGGAGAGAGAGGATGGCTTAGCTTCAAAAATCTTTTTACTCCCCCTCCATCCATATGCCTACTACCACTTTCACCTCAAAACTCATCTTCCAGGAAGGCATATTTAGTGGTGTGCTGGTAAATCAGTTTTTTTACAAAAAGGCTTCCATATGTGGCATCTGCTGATGTCCGTGGTGTAAATGCTCCCGCTATGATGAATTGCAAGTTACAAATAGCTAAGCAGTTCACAAATCCTTGACTATTTAACAGTCCGCTCTCATGAGTGGTCCCAAGCCAGCCTCAGCACACCTCAGCACACCACTGGTTCTTTTTTTTTTTTTTTTTCTCCAGACAGGGTCTCTCTCTGTCACCTAGGCTGCAGCGCAGTGGTGCAATCACCGCTCACTACAGCCTTGATCTCCCCGGCTCAGATGATCTTTCCACCTCAGCCTCCTGAGTAGCTGGGACTACAGGTGTGCACCACTATGCCCAGTTCATTTTTTTTTTTACTTTTTTTTATTGTTTTTTGTGGAGACAGGGTTTCACCATCTTGCCTAGGCTGGCCTCAAACTCCTGGGCTCAAGTAATCCTCCTGCCTCAGCCTCCCAAATTGTTGGCATTACAGGTGTGAGCCACTGTGCTTAGCACACCACTGGTTCTCACAGTGACTGTGTATCCTCATTTGATTTACTCAGAACAGCCCTGGTTTATCCGTATTGCCCAAGAACCCCATTGAGCTTTGCATTTGTCCTGCCCCTTTTCACTCTTAAAAGTGTACCAGGCCCGGCATTAACTTAAATGGCCACCCCTGTATTTCTCTTCCTGTTCCTCATAATCTACTTCCTTCCCATGTTTCAAAGCCCTCCCCAGGTACCCTTCCACTTGGCTGGTTACCGTCTGTGGTGAAGCGCCTGCACTCCTCGGGAGACATGCCTGGCTTATATGCTGCATCCACATAACCATAGATAAAGGTGCTGCCGGAGCCACCAATGGCAAAAGGCTGTCGAGTCAGCATTCCTCCCAGGGTTCCATATACCTGGGAAAGGGATCCTCAGGTTAAAGAATCATCAAGCCCTTCCTTCCCACTGAGACATTAAGTGGTCTCTGCACCCTGCAATGAAGCCCTGGTATCTCATATCCCCAAAGTACTATGCTTTCAGAGGTAGTGTCCTTGGAACTCATTGCTAGAATGACATAGGACTTCCATCTTCCTCTGCAGGAGAGTGGGGAAGCCCAGAGGAGAGAGTGCTTTGGGAGAAACTCACCTGACCTCCTTCACGTTGGTCCCAGCCAGCTACCATGAGATGTGCAGACAAGTCCTCTCGATATTTATAGCTGATATTTCTCACCACATTTGCAGCAGCCAAAACAAGTGGAGGTTCCTCCAGTTCTATCCTGAGGGAAATATTAGGAATAAAGGTTGATAGAATTTTAAGTCTCATTCTCCTATACTGTTACCATCATCCCTGCTAAACGACCCCTGAAAACTGTAACTGCAATAGCTCAAACTGCAGCCTCCCTCCCACATGTACAGGGGAACCAGAGTCCCACACCACCAACTGGTAAGAAGCTTTCAATTGCTCACTCTTTTGCTCAGCCCCACCCACATAACTTTCTTTTGGCTGCAAGGACCCTGCTCTTATGGGGAAAAGCAGATAAGGTTACTTCCGTCCCAACGACCTTGATTTCTCGTATGGTAACTGCCTGATATTATGGTGGGTCACAATATCACCTTCTTCCTGATTATTTATATCAGGATAGTGATTTACAGCTTTTAAACTGTGTTCACATATAGAATGTGGTTCTCAAAATAACCGTCTCATGAGGTACTATATTATCTCCACTTTACAGATGCAGAAACTGACAGATTCAAGTGCCAGCAAGAGCCGAAACAAGACTTTTCCATTTCCCAGTGTCCAGCTCCTGGAACAGCACACTGTACAGGGATTCATGCAGGTTGGGGGAGCTCTAGTGGGTGGGGAGTCAGAACTCCAGAGCTTCATACCCATGGAGCTCCAGCTGGTAGGCGGCCATGTCGGCCACGGCTTGGGCATCAGCAGCTGAACCAGAGAGTGCACAGTAGATGCGCTCGTGCAGCGGGGACAGCTTGTCAAACACTCGGTTCACCACCGCCTCGCTGTCAGGAGGGAGTCAACAGTCACCAAGTTAAAACTCAGGTTTTTTTTTTTTTTTTTTTTTTGAGACAGTCTCACTCTGTCACCCAGGCTGGAGTGCAGTGGATCAATCTTGGGCTCACTGCAAACTTCGCCTCCCTGGTTCAAGTGATTCTCCTGCCTCAGCCTCCCGAATAGCTGGGATTACAGGCACCCACCACCAAGCCCAGCTAATGTTTGTATTTTCAGTAGAGACAAGGTCCCAACATGTTGGCCAGGCTGGTCTCAAACTCCTGACCTCAAATATCTGCCCACCTCGGCATCCCAAAGTGCTGAGATTATAGATGTGAGCCACTGCACCCAACCAGAACTCAGGAATTTTTGAGGGTGATCATTCAATGTCTCTCAAATTTCTTTGACAAGAGAATAGCATGAAGTTTAATGCTTGGATTAAAGCAGGAGGCAAATAATCATCTCAGATATTATTAATCACTGCAGATGTTAATCAAAATTAGGCTTATTTTTCAGGCTTAGATTTTATAACAAAGCAAAAAATGCTAAGGTAAGAAAAATATGCCTCATCAATTTTCTTTGCTATTAACAATCTTGAGAGAGTTATGTTCTATGGAACATAATGTCAGTAATATTGACCTAACCCCATATACTCATTTTGCATGTGAGGAAATTGGTTAGGAGTGGGAGAAGAGACAAAATAGTTCAATATATGGTAAATGAGAAACCAGGTATCTGCTTGACAGAATCATCTTTTTGATCCCTAAGCACAGATGGAAAGAAGACCCTCAAAAATCTATCTCCTGTCCCCCTCTCAGACCCTATTCCTTTACTCATCCCTGTACACTACTGGGACAGGTCACATACACATTCAGACCCCAGATCCTCCTCCACAAATTCAGAGACCCAAGCACCCACCAAATAGCTTATCATAGTGGCTTTTGGGGAAGGTCAACTCCATTCCTCCAAGGCTCCAGTTTGCCAGTCTTTTCATGAATGGGTAAGGAAAGTGTGTATTTGAGGCCATTAGCTTCTTTCCAAATGCATACATCTTCACTTTTACTCACCCTGCAGACACTCGGGAATCAGAACCCATCACAACGCCCCCGTCAAACTCCACTGCCATGATGGTGGTCTGCAGAGACACAGAATATGGAATGTCAGGGCAAGAACAGCCTTGATGCCCTCATGTTAGAGAAGAAGAAACATTCCCAGAGAGGCGAAGTGACTGGCTCAAAGATTACACAGTAACAGGCCAGAGCTGACTGTCAGTACAGGCTTTTTTTCCCTTCATCTTTCCACTTTCTCTATTGCTTCATCCGGCTGCAGGGGAATGCCACAGCCCAGCTGTGATACAACACAGAAAGAACTGTGTCCCTAAGTTCCAACTTGCCTAGTGGAATCCTCTCCACTGTAGAGAGGTGGAGATGAGGCTCCTACAGGTAGAAGTGAAGCAGCTCCGCAAGTGAAAATTATCTCCAACGGAAGGGCTCATAGTATGTGCAGATGTGGTGTAGACCCAACACAGAGTAATTGACTATGATCTTGGGAAACAAGGTCAGTCTATTTTTTTTTTTTTTGGTCCACAATCCTCCACTCTCACCCCCCATTTCATCAGAAGTGAGCTCTTCCAATTTACTGAACATTGGAAAAAATCGAGGAGGGCAGTGGTTAGCATGGCCAGGGGCAAGGCAGGAGAGAAGCAGCAAGGAACACATACAGATGGTTGAAAATAAAAGTTTCAGTTATGGAATTTCCGATCAAGAGGTAAATACATATCTCAGCAGCCAGGGAGGTAAATTTGTACCAAGAGATAATTTGACTGAGAAGTTTAAGCTGACTTTTCCAGGTCAAGAAAAGAATCAAGAAGAAGTGAGGGAAGATAAAGCTACATTTATTCTACTATTGAGTTGGAAGGAGCCTTAAAGATCCTCGGTTCAAATGAGGAAACCAAGTCACAGAAAATGCAAACGACTTATGCAAAGTCACACAGAGTTAATAGTAGACCTGGGACTAAAATTCAGGTCTAACTCTTATCCCTTGTTTCCACTTCTACTTCCTACTTGCCACTGCTCATTTGGCAGTGAGGGGAGATTTCCCAAATTATAAGTGGTTTCACTGTGTCTTTCTTACCAGGCCGTAAGTTACTCTGGCCCCAAAGGACGCTCCTCTGAGTATGCTTTCCGACGGACCGACTTATCATGAATAGAGGGTCAAAGAACAGGGTTAACTTCAAGTTAGAGGCTATTCCTCTCTAACAAAGCCGCCCCCAAGCCACGAGTGGTGGCAGTAGTCCAGAGCAGAAGCCAGCCAGCCAGTCTTGGGGCTGCCATCTGCCCCAGGCGCCCATCCTAAGCAAAGTCCCCCCAGTGGGCACATGGGAGTGGGCAGGGAAGACACAGGGAAGGGAGTAAGGCAGCATCTGGGCCAAGGAGAGGCCTTCCTGGGTCAAGCTAGGGAAGGGCATCACTAGTTAACACAGAACGCCCATTATCAGTGCTTGGGCTAAGAGTTGCCCAGTGGCAAGTTTATCAAAAGTCTGTGTGATGAGTTGGTCCTTCTCAATAAGTGCCTATATTTCCTTCTCCCAAGTGCTGTTCTACTTCACCCAGGGCACCATTTCCTCATCTCTTTGCACCATCCCCAACCCCCTTTCTTGATTTAACCAGCCCCCACTGTCCGGGACCAGAGTGAAAGCGAAAGCGCTTTAGAGTAGCTTCCCGTTGACGCTTCCAGCTAAGAGTCAAAGCACCCGCTTTTTCCACCAGCCTCGCGTGCCTGTTCCCTTCACGGACACTCTAGACGACCCCCCTCAGAAAAGAAATACTCTATGCTCATTGCGGGTTGCAAGCGCTGGCTGCTACAGGCGACCTCCCTGCGCTCCCGTTGGTCTCTGCATTCACTTCTCCGCGCGCGCTTCCAGGGTCCCCTGGCCGCTGCATCTCCTCCACCCCTCTGCCAACCCTCAAGCCCAGACCCATTACCCCGGTGTGGACTTCTCCCGCCCGGGGTAAGTCCCCGGTTGGTGCTCCCGCCCGCAGCATCCCTGCAAGGCACCGCTCTCCTCGCCGCCTGGGGCACTGGTTTCCAACCTGGGACAGCGCACAACGCGCAGCCGACAGCCCCGCCCCTTCGCGGCGCCGCCAGGAGGCGCCTGGGTGCTGCGGGGCTGCTTTGCGCGCGGCGCTAACGTGTGTAGGGCAGATCTGCCCCGAGACAAGTGACGAGGCAGCCCCGCCCTGAGGCTGGGGTGGGAAAACTGGTGCAAGTGGAAAGGCAGGAGGCAGGGAGAGGCGAGAAGGGTGTGCGTGATGGAGAAAATTGGGCACCAGGGCTGCTCCCGAGATTCTCAGATCTGATTTCCACGCTTGCTACCAAAATAGTCTGGGCAGGCCACTTTTGGAAGTAGGCGTTATCTAGTGAGCAGGCGGCCGCTTTCGATTTCGCTTTCCCCTAAATGGCTGAGCTTCTCGCCAGCGCAGGATCAGCCTGTTCCTGGGACTTTCCGAGAGCCCCGCCCTCGTTCCCTCCCCCAGCCGCCAGTAGGGGAGGACTCGGCGGTACCCGGAGCTTCAGGCCCCACCGGGGCGCGGAGAGTCCCAGACCCGGCCGGGACCGGGACGGCGTCCGAGTGCCAATGGCTAGCTCTAGGTGTCCCGCTCCCCGCGGGTGCCGCTGCCTCCCCGGAGCTTCTCTCGCATGGCTGGGGACAGTACTGCTACTTCTCGCCGACTGGGTGCTGCTCCGGACCGCGCTGCCCCGCATATTCTCCCTGCTGGTGCCCACCGCGCTGCCACTGCTCCGGGTCTGGGCGGTGGGCCTGAGCCGCTGGGCCGTGCTCTGGCTGGGGGCCTGCGGGGTCCTCAGGGCAACGGTTGGCTCCAAGAGCGAAAACGCAGGTGCCCAGGGCTGGCTGGCTGCTTTGAAGCCATTAGCTGCGGCACTGGGCTTGGCCCTGCCGGGACTTGCCTTGTTCCGAGAGCTGATCTCATGGGGAGCCCCCGGGTCCGCGGATAGCACCAGGCTACTGCACTGGGGAAGTCACCCTACCGCCTTCGTTGTCAGTTATGCAGCGGCACTGCCCGCAGCAGCCCTGTGGCACAAACTCGGGAGCCTCTGGGTGCCCGGCGGTCAGGGCGGCTCTGGAAACCCTGTGCGTCGGCTTCTAGGCTGCCTGGGCTCGGAGACGCGCCGCCTCTCGCTGTTCCTGGTCCTGGTGGTCCTCTCCTCTCTTGGTAAGGGGAACGCAGGGCAAGAGGGGAGGACACAAGGGGACTGGGACAGGAATCAAAGGTAATTGTCAGTAAGGTAGAGTAGCGTGGGTTCTGGGAAATGTGGAGCAGGAGAAGGACTCCTAGCGTGGGTCTTGGAACACCACTTCGGTGTAGAAGAAACGGCACTGGACTGGCGGGGGCCAGAGGTTCTGGGCTCCATTGCTGACCGGGTCTTGATTCTTTGGGCCACGCCGGAAGCGGGGAAATCCTTTGCTCTGGGGCCGAAGGGCGGGGCATCCTCATCTCTAACAGGAGGCTTTTCTACTTCATGATCTCCAGCCTTCCTAATAAAATCCTGAAAGTTCTGGTAGAGCAACCACAGGGTAGTGAGTTCCAGGGCAGCCTATTTAGGTTCGGGATTGAGACGTCAGTGTTTCCTTTCTGCTGATGCCCTCCAGGATAATGGTGAGGGGGAGGAGGCGTGGTGGGGCCAGTCTGACTGGAACTGACCTACTTAGACTTAATATTTGTGCGTGACCTCTCTTCTCTTTCTCCAGGGGAGATGGCCATTCCATTCTTTACGGGCCGCCTCACTGACTGGATTCTACAAGATGGCTCAGCCGATACCTTCACTCGAAACTTAACTCTCATGTCCATTCTCACCATAGCCAGGTCTGGGGGCTGAAAATGGGGCACCCTGCAAATGAGGGAGTTGGAAGTTGGGGCTGCTGTCCGAAATGCACTTATATGGGGATACCTGGGACCTTCAGTCTGTTCCCTGAACACACCCTGATCCCCTTTTTTTCCGGGTTCTTTATAGTGCAGTGCTGGAGTTCGTGGGTGACGGGATCTATAACAACACCATGGGCCACGTGCACAGCCACTTGCAGGGAGAGGTGTTTGGGGCTGTCCTGCGCCAGGAGACGGAGTTTTTCCAACAGAACCAGACAGGTTTCTCCTGAAACTCTTTCATTATACGCCATGTACTGTTCATATCCTCATACATCTGCTTTGATCTCCCCCCTCCCCGCTCTCTCTCTCTCACACACACATACACACATTGTTCCTTCTCATTCTTGATATACCCTCTCCCTGTCTCTCTCTCTCTGTCTCTGTCTCTCTCTCTCTCTCTCTCTCACACACACACACACACAATTGTTTTTCTCATTCTTGATATACCTCAGGAGCAAAATATTGTCCTCCTTACCTTAAGAAAAACCTAGAGTTTTCATCTAGCATTTTCTTATAAATCTATTCCTATGTATCCTTAGATAGAAACCATAGAATTTCAAACCTGGAAATTTTGAGCTCATAGAGACCAGCTGCCTCATCTGACAGAGAAGGAAACTGAGGCCAAGACCCTAAATGCTGAAACTGCACAGTTACATATGGCTAGAGACACACTTGGGGTTAGAACCCTGGTCTCTTGAGTGCTCCACAGACTTCGGCATGCTTTCTAGCAGCACTAGAAGCTGTACAGTTACATATGGCTAGAGATAGACCTGGGGTTAGAACCCTAGTCCCAGTGAGTGCTCCACAGACTTTGGCATGCTTCCTAGCAGCACCCTCCTCCTCCATCTCTGTTATGTGACCAGTTTAAGCTCTTCCTGCCTGTGTGTATAGCATGGGACATACAGGTTCTCTAGGGAACAGAAAGCTTTCAGGAAAATGGAAATTCACATGTGCATTAATGACTTTATAATTAAAATGAAGGTCAGGCCTTTCCTCTTTAACACTCATCTTCCCTGCACTGAGATTTGCAGACCTCTGGAGAACCCTAACCTTGTTTCCTGCAGCCTCCTTAGAACCCCATGTTGACACCCCTGACCCTGGCATCCTGGCTCATTGTTAGTTCGTCTCATCACTTGGAACCTGTCTGATTCACCTCACTCTCTTCTCCCCAACCCTGCAGGTAACATCATGTCTCGGGTAACAGAGGACACGTCCACCCTGAGTGATTCTCTGAGTGAGAATCTGAGCTTATTTCTGTGGTACCTGGTGCGAGGCCTATGTCTCTTGGGGATCATGCTCTGGGGATCAGTGTCCCTCACCATGGTCACCCTGATCACCCTGCCTCTGCTTTTCCTTCTGCCCAAGAAGGTGGGAAAATGGTACCAGGTATGTTCATGGAGTTGGCCCGCTCTACACAGACCCTCATCTCCCAGACTTGGCAGACTCAGTTCCTCTCACATTGCTTTCAGTCCAGCTTTCCTGGCACCCTTACTGATTCTCCATCTTCATGGAACACCCTGTCCCTGTGGTCCATGTTCCCAGGTTGCTCAACATTAACCTCCATACTCTCTGGGTCTTCTTTTCTAGCTTCTCCCCACAATCTGTCTTTAAGAATTTGATCCCCAACCCGTTCTGAGTCATTTTCCTCTTCCTCGTATTTCTTTAGCATCCAAGGGGCATAGCTGTGTCTCTTTCTCTTTTCTCCTTTTCCTCTGTCTCTTCTCACCTTTAATTTCCAAATAGGTAACTCAGGTATTAGTGTCCCTGATGGTTTGCCAACCCGTGTGACATCTCTTGTCCATGTATCCACAGTTGCTGGAAGTGCAGGTGCGGGAATCTCTGGCAAAGTCCAGCCAGGTGGCCATTGAGGCTCTGTCGGCCATGCCTACAGTTCGAAGCTTTGCCAACGAGGAGGGCGAAGCCCAGAAGTTTAGGGAAAAGCTGCAAGAAATAAAGACACTCAACCAGAAGGAGGCTGTGGCCTATGCAGTCAACTCCTGGACCACTAGTGTGAGCACCTGAAGATGAATACCCATTCCCTTGTCCTTAAGATGCCGTGACTCCATTCCCATTCCTATGACCCTGCTCCCACTCCTCCTTTACTGGGAAATGGTTGGTTCAGTATTTTCGTCCTAGCAACCTGAGGCTCAATGACTCTACTCAGTGTCCCTAGCCCCCTCCCTCTCTTTAAAGATGCTAGGTGGCTTCCTTTCAGTATGGTACATAAAATCCACCCAACCATGTGGATTGGAGAGATGCGTGTCTTCCAGTCCTAGGGCCTTCCTTTGCCTCTCAGGGGAAGTGCAGGGCGCCATAAATTCTTGCACCTGGGACTGCTTCATGCTGGTACCTTGTAGATTTGTTAGTGAGAGTGATGGGAATAGTGGAAGCCAGGGATGAGGGACATCTGTGATGCACTGGAAAGAGAGCTACGCCAGTGATCCGAAGATCCTGGCTTGATGATGCAATTTACTTGTCTTGTGATCATGACAACAAATTTACCTTCTCTGAGACTGTTTCCTCTTTATTTATTTATTTGTTTGTTTGTTTGTTTATTTTTACTTATTATTATTATTTTTGAGCTGGAGTCTCGCTTTGTCGCCCAGGCTGGAGTGCAGTGGCGCGATCTGGGCTCACTGCAAGCTCCGCCTCCCGGGTTCACGCCGTTCTCCCGCCTCAGCCTCCTGAGTAGCTGGGACTACAGGCACCCGCCACCACGCCCGGCTAATTTTTTTTTTTTTTGTATTTTTAGTAGAGACGAGGTTTCTCCGTGTTAGCCAGGATGGTCTCAATCTCCTGACCTTGTGATCCGCCCACTTCGGCCTCCCAAAGTGCTGGAATTGCAGGCATGAGCCACTGCGCCCGACTGGTTGTTTCCTCATTTTTCAAAAATGGAGTGATATAACCTTCTTTATAAGGCTCTTCATGTATTAGCTGACATCACATGAATGAAAGCCTTTTGTGAAGAGTAAAATGCTCCCCAGACAAGGTGATAGTGGTGATGGTGGTGAAGATAACTGTGACTTGCATGATGTGCATTGAGTCAGACTCCATGGGGTCTCTGGTTCATTCTCCTGTCTGCCTATTGAGCCTGCCGATGTCACTTAGGAGACAGGGACTTGATATTTCCTTCAGGTTAATGACTGTGGTTCTTTGTGTCCCCTCCAGATTTCTCTACCTCAGTCCCTTTTTTTGTGGTCTCTTTATAGATTTCAGGTATGCTGCTGAAAGTGGGAATCCTCTACATTGGTGGGCAGCTGGTGACCAGTGGGGCTGTAAGCAGTGGGAACCTTGTCACATTTGTTCTCTACCAGATGCAGTTCACCCAGGCTGTGGAGGTGAGGTCCCTCCACCTTCACTCCCCAGTGTGATTCCTTCCTCTGGCCCAGCACCATCTGTGTGATGTCCTTCCATTCTTTACCCTTCTTGCTTCACATAATGCTGGCAAGCAGACTACCTCACTTTCACTATTCTTACCTCCCTCTAGGTACTGCTCTCCATCTACCCCAGAGTACAGAAGGCTGTGGGCTCCTCAGAGAAAATATTTGAGTACCTGGACCGCACCCCTCGCTGCCCACCCAGTGGTCTGTTGACTCCCTTACACTTGGAGGGCCTTGTCCAGTTCCAAGATGTCTCCTTTGCCTACCCAAACCGCCCAGATGTCTTAGTGCTACAGGTACAACCTACCACTCCCTGTATTCCACTGGCCCCAACTGCAATTCTGCCATCCTAAATTTTCTTCCTGCCTTCAGCCTGCTTACTGCCAAGCATATATCCTCCCTAACCCTTTAAAGGCAATGGTAGGCATCATCTGTTCCATAAATCTTCCCCAAACTCAAGAACCCAGTTTGGGCTTCCAAAGAGAATGAGAGAAGAGGTTTCGAAGAGAGTGCTCTCACGTTCCAAGGAATTGCTGCAGCAAAATCTGTGTCTTCGGTCTTCCATCTTTCCTTTTCCTTTGTAATTTGGAATGTGATTTTTCCCTTTCCTGGTGGTATCTGACATCAAGTGTGTGGCATAGTGGTGCTGGGTCTCTGCCCTTGTCTTTGCTGCTTCTTCTATCTCTACTCCTTGGGGAGGCATCACCCAGAAATCTGTGCATGTGGGAGGGTAGGAGTTTCTATATTTCCCTGTTTTTCTTCTGGGGTAAGACATCATGCTATGTAACAAGGCAATGACACTCTCAAGGTTAGAGGCCTTGGTAGCCTCTTATCGTGTGCTTCTCTGGCCTCTAGGGGCTGACATTCACCCTACGCCCTGGCGAGGTGACGGCGCTGGTGGGACCCAATGGGTCTGGGAAGAGCACAGTGGCTGCCCTGCTGCAGAATCTGTACCAGCCCACCGGGGGACAGCTGCTGTTGGATGGGAAGCCCCTTCCCCAATATGAGCACCGCTACCTGCACAGGCAGGTATGGAAGCAGGTGGCTTGAAGGAGGGCAGGGAGCATCAAATACGAAGAGCATTCTTACTGAGCACTCTGAAAGAGGGGTTAGGGAATGATAAGAGACCTTGGGTGGAGATGGTGGTGTAGTCAGGAGGGAGGTAGTATGATTTTGTGACATGTTCTCAATAAAGATTTTGAGTCTTCGATCTCTAGATAACCATACTCCCATGTGCCTTGTTCTATGACTCTTCATCATATTTCATCTCAGGTGGCTGCAGTGGGACAAGAGCCACAGGTATTTGGAAGAAGTCTTCAAGAAAATATTGCCTATGGCCTGACCCAGAAGCCAACTATGGAGGAAATCACAGCTGCTGCAGTAAAGTCTGGGGCCCATAGTTTCATCTCTGGACTCCCTCAGGGCTATGACACAGGTACTCTCTCCACTCATCTCACCACCCAGCCATCTTTACCTTTGCTGAAACCCCAGTAGTCTTGCCTTTATCCTTCAGTTCCTCCTTACTCATGGACATCAATTTGAAGTTGTAAGATCATGCTCCTATGGCTTCTTCATCCTGACATCCTCAGGATTCTGTTCATCTTCCCAGAATCTCCCCTATCCAGCTACAACCGTCAGATCTTGGTGTGTGTGAGTGCGTGAATGCATGAGTGTGTCTGTGTGCATGTACATGCGTGCACACATGTGGCTATACCGTTCTCATCTTGGCCCTTTGCTCTGCAGAGGTAGACGAGGCTGGGAGCCAGCTGTCAGGGGGTCAGCGACAGGCAGTGGCGTTGGCCCGAGCATTGATCCGGAAACCGTGTGTACTTATCCTGGATGATGCCACCAGTGCCCTGGATGCAAACAGCCAGTTACAGGTGAGGCAGTCATCTTCTTAATGGCTATATCCCACCCAATCTTGCTTCTTTTATACATCTTCTGTTAGTTTTACTAACATCATAATTATACAAACCAGTCCTTGCAGTTCTCAGTTCCCAAATCCAGTTCCATTGGATGCCTCCCCAAGGAGTAGAGATAGAAGACGAGGCAAAGACACCTAGAATCAGTTAAAAGAGACTATCTACAAACTACAGACTGAATTTCTTTCTTTCTTTCCTTTTTTTTTTTTAAGACAGTGTCTCACTCAGTTGCCCAGGCTGGAGCGCAGTGGCACAATCTTGGCTCACTGCAGCTTCAACCTGCTGGGCTCAAGCGATTCTCCCCTCAGCCTCCCGAGTAGCTGGGACTACAGGTGTACACCACTATGCCTGGTTGGCTTTTATATTTTTAGTAGAGATGGGTTTCACCATGTTGCCCAGGCTGGCCTTGAATTCCTGAGCTCAGGTAATCTGCCCCCCTCAGCCTCCCAAAGGGCTGGGGTTATAGGTGTGAGCCACTGCGCCCAGTCCTATAGACTGAATTTCTAAAGCGAAACATAAGGAAAAGACCATCCTCATAATATCGTTTATTTAAAAAAATTATTTTTTGTACAGACAGCGTCCCGCTATGTTGCCCAGGCTGGCCTTGAACTCCTGGGCCCAAGTGATCCTCCCTCCTTGACCTCCCAAAGTGCTAGGATTATAGGCATGAGCCACTGGGCCCAGCCCATCCTAATCATATTAATATTAATTAAGCTAGTCTGTTTACATGCACTGTCACTCATTTATTCATTAGGAATCCTTCTGAGCTAGGCATTTATCATCATTCTACAGATGACAAAATGGAGGTTAAAAGAGGTTGAATAAGCTGCTCATATAGAGGTCATATAGCTTTTGAGTGGCGCAGCCTTGACCCAAATTCAGGTCTGCCTGACTTGAATGCTCATCTCTTTACTACTAAGTTATATTTCCTTAAAATCGAATATAAAAATGCCAAGTCCATGGGTAGAGAAGAGGACTATTCAATAGTCTTTATTCTTCTGTCACGTGTTTCACCCTAGGGTTCTCATTTTTATCCTACTTTTGCACCCTTCATGTAAAACAGTCCTTAATGAAACAAAGGGTTTGCGGAGAAGTACTCAGAATGGGAAACGTTGGTGTCCTTGGGGTTGTTAGCAGAGCCAGCAGTGATCCTGTGAGGTCAGTCCCAGCCCTGGAAACACAGGTGTCTCCCTGGGCTGAGGGTAGTCCCCGGCTCTGACGGTCCGATGTCTTTCCTCAGGTGGAGCAGCTCCTGTACGAAAGCCCTGAGCGGTACTCCCGCTCAGTGCTTCTCATCACCCAGCACCTCAGCCTGGTGGAGCAGGCTGACCACATCCTCTTTCTGGAAGGAGGCGCTATCCGGGAGGGGGGAACCCACCAGCAGCTCATGGAGAAAAAGGGGTGCTACTGGGCCATGGTGCAGGCTCCTGCAGATGCTCCAGAATGAAAGCCTTCTCAGACCTGCGCACTCCATCTCCCTCCCTTTTCTTCTCTCTGTGGTGGAGAACCACAGCTGCAGAGTAGGCAGCTGCCTCCAGGATGAGTTACTTGAAATTTGCCTTGAGTGTGTTACCTCCTTTCCAAGCTCCTCGTGATAATGCAGACTTCCTGGAGTACAAACACAGGATTTGTAATTCCTTACTGTAACGGAGTTTAGAGCCAGGGCTGATGCTTTGGTGTGGCCAGCACTCTGAAACTGAGAAATGTTCAGAATGTACGGAAAGATGATCAGCTATTTTCAACATAACTGAAGGCATATGCTGGCCCATAAACACCCTGTAGGTTCTTGATATTTATAATAAAATTGGTGTTTTGTACTGTGGTTTCTTATGTTTCCGGCACACCAAACGGCCCACTGCCTTTTGCAGCGCACTTTTCAGCTGCGGGTGTCTCCTCTTTTATCATCCTCAATGTTTTACCCCCTAACTGCATCACCTTTTCCCTTAAGCTTTTTAATTCCTATGAGGCCCCTTCCACTTCCCCTATCCCCTTAGGCCCACCCCCAAGAATGTGCAAGACCCCAGCCACAGGGCCCATCAGGGCACTAGCGGCCGCAGCTCAGAGCCGTGGCCTCTCCGAAGTGGCAGATGGGGCGGGCGCGGCCAGAGCAAGTGCCAGGCGGGAACAGAGGGACTGGGCGCGCCTCACAACTCACCACCTCGCCCGCTGGTCCTTCCTGGCTCGCCTGGCTCTGAAGCTGCACCTGGAGGGGAAACCTCAGAACAGTAGGCGGGATTGCCTAGTAAATATCTCCCATTCAGGGAGGCCCAGGTCGTGTGACGTCGACAGTTGCTGGGTAGATGAGGCCAACACAGGTTGCAAGAAGAGGCGGGGTTTAGAGGCGTGAAACTCCGCAGTGCTCAGCCAAGCAGGGAGCAACGCTAGGAAGGGCGGGCAGAAAGGGCACGCTCTTGTGGGTGACTACAGGTTAGGAGACCGTTGAACCTGGAGGGGCCCTAGGATGGACCCCGTGGAAAGATTCAGAGACTGCGCCCTCTCCCTGGCGCCGCCTTCCCCTACACGCGGCGGGTATATTCTGTTGCAGTTGGCCCAGGACCTGTTTCCAAGACTCTGCCCCCTCGCACTTCCGTCCCTCCTGGTTTTGTAAAGTGATGCTCATAGGAACCCCCACCCCGCGTGACACTACTCCCAGCTCCTGGCTGACTTCTAGTCTTCTGGTTGAAGCTGCGCCTTTAGATGACACGACCCTACCCACCCCTGTTTCCAGCGGATGCCCGGGCCTGGAGGTACCTCTTACTGTAACCCATCGCCAAGTGGGCTTTTGAAGGCGCCTGTTCCTTTCTCGCTTTCTTCGGAAGACCCTTGACCCATCATTCCCCCGACCCCCATAACGGGAGAGCAGAGAAGCCGGTCCCCAGTGTGATGGTCCTGGTCCAGGCACTAACTGTCCTTTTCTCGGAAAAGGCAGGGGGATGTGGAAAAGAGTCTTGTTCCCTCCCCTTCGATCTGTGGCTTTCGCTTTCACTTCCTCCTCCGAGAGCGGACAGATCTCTGGGTGCTGGGCGGTCATGGCGCTACTAGATGTATGCGGAGCCCCCCGAGGGCAGCGGCCGGAATCGGCTCTCCCGGTTGCGGGAAGCGGGCGTCGCTCGGACCCAGGACACTACAGTTTCTCTATGCGATCTCCAGAGCTCGCTTTACCCCGGGGAATGAAGGTCGGGGCAGTAGGGAAGCCCCTAGGGATGCAGGGAGGCGGGCGCTGAGGAGTGGAGGGTCGCCTGAGAGGAGGAGGCGAGAGCGGGAGCGCGGGGTACAGGGTCGGGGGTAGCCTTCAGTCCCGGAGAGCGCCAGACCCAAAGAAGAGGCCACATGGGGATGGGGCCTGAGAGGAGGAAGTGCAAGTTAGGACAAAGAGTTACAGGTGAGGTGGGGGCTCCCAAAGGAAGACAAGAGAACTTCCCTGCCCTTGTCCACACACAAATGGTGGAGCCTTTTTCATGGGGTTATCACATGATATAGGAGGTGTGTGGTGTCTTGGGAAACCTATGAAATTTGCCTGCTGGCCTCCTCTCAGCAACTCACTGTTGCGCGACTTAGAACAAGTCACTTAGTCTAGGTCCCAAGCCCCTCTTCTGTAAAGTGAGGATACTGTTACTAAACGTGTTTTGTGAGGGTTGAATGCTTTATGCATGGAAGAAACCCTTTAAGTCACTCTCAAAATTTTTTAGTAATGGTAACATGTGCTTGCTTTCATTTCTGTTGTGCTGGAAAATGGAAAAGGTTGATACTGGCATGCCTCTTCTTTTCCTTCTCCCAAGCCATTTCCTTCTAGAGATTGGTTATTAACTGTTTCATTTATTGATGGTTAGATCATTTCTGCATATCTCCTCACCCTCATACTCCCTAAAACCTTTTCCTGGAGCCTCTTACTACAGAATTTTTCATTGCCTTTCTCAACCTCTTTTCTCTTATCAGCCCACAGAATTCTTCCAGTCCCTGGGTGGGGACGGAGAAAGGAACGTTCAGATTGAGATGGCCCATGGCACCACCACGCTCGCCTTCAAGTTCCAGCATGGAGTGATTGCAGCAGTGGATTCTCGGGCCTCAGCTGGGTCCTACATTAGTGAGTGTATACGCTCCAGCAGGCAGAATCTGGGGAGCTGGGCTCTCCTTTCCACAGGAGGCCAACTCTGCAACAAAGTGGAAGTGGATATTGATTTAGGACACACTGGGGGATCTATGGGGTCATCCCTTCTCTCCCAAAGCTCCATCTTCTTCCAGGTGCCTTACGGGTGAACAAGGTGATTGAGATTAACCCTTACCTGCTTGGCACCATGTCTGGCTGTGCAGCAGACTGTCAGTACTGGGAGCGCCTGCTGGCCAAGGAATGCAGGTAAGTGAGGCCTCTCATCTTCCTTTCTTAGCCTAGTGGTTAATCCCTGGATCTCTCAGATCATTGCTCCTTACTCTTGTCCTATGTGGTCCATCTTAGTGCTAATAGTATATTTCACAAAACAGCTTTTTGGTGATAAGACCCTTCTCCCAAATCTCAGCCTGTGCTCCACTCATAAGCCAGATAGTACGTCAGGTATTTAGCACTGACACATCCACCCTGGCGGGACAGTATCATTTACTAGGCTGCCTTTGTATGTTTCAGATACTTTAAATTCCAAATCTTTCTCTGATCTTTAGATCCTACAAAATAATTCCTTTCCAATGCTTATCTCTTTAATCATTTCCTGCCCCATCAAGTTGGAAAGAGCTAACCTCTCTTTCCTCACTCCACCTTGTCCTCACCCAGGCTGTACTATCTGCGAAATGGAGAACGTATTTCAGTGTCGGCAGCCTCCAAGCTGCTGTCCAACATGATGTGCCAGTACCGGGGCATGGGCCTCTCTATGGGCAGTATGATCTGTGGCTGGGATAAGAAGGTGGGTGCTCTCCATTCTTCATGTTCCCCCACCATGTTCCCTATGGATGACAGATCTGTTTCTCATCATATACTCCTACTCCCTCCCTGACAAGATGCATGGCATATAGAGTGCTTGGTTATAGAACTGTTTCAGTATATCCATGGACTATTTATTGGCCCAGATATGAATCATTGCATGTGTTTTGTAAGCTTGTCCCTTTTGTTAAACAGTTGATTTCAAGTTTGTTTTTCCTTTTTCATTTCTAAAGTTCGATGACTTTACCAAAGTGGTTTCCTAATTCCAATGTTCTTGTGGTAATATTAATTCTTTTGTTCACTTTTTATGTCTCATATTTGAACCCCCATGTTACCAACATCTTCCTCTCCAATTTCAGCCTGAAATCTTTCATCTTATAGGGTCCTGGACTCTACTACGTGGATGAACATGGGACTCGGCTCTCAGGAAATATGTTCTCCACGGGTAGTGGGAACACTTATGCCTACGGGGTCATGGACAGTGGCTATCGGCCTAATCTTAGCCCTGAAGAGGCCTATGACCTTGGCCGCAGGGCTATTGCTTATGCCACTCACAGAGACAGCTATTCTGGAGGCGTTGTCAATAGTAAGAGACCAATGCTCCCACCACCATGCCTGGGAGGAGTCGGCGGGTGGTGGGGGGGGTGATTTAAGATTGAGAAACCAGCCTTGCCAACATGGCGAAACCCCGTCTCTACTAAAACTACAAAAATTAGCCGGACGTGGTGACGGGTGCCTGTAGTCCCAGCTACTTGGGAGGCTGAGGCAGGAGAATCACTTGAACCTGGGAGGTGGAGCTTGCAGTGAGCCAAGATGGTGCCACTGCATTCCAGTCTGGGCCACAGAGTGAGACTCCTTCTCAAAAGAAAAAAAAGAAAATGATTGAGAGACTCAAAGGAGGGAGAGTAGTAGGGAGGAAATTTTCAGAGTCAGAAGAAGGGCATTAAAGGCCCAGTCATATGGTTTTAAGCTTGCGCATGTGTCTTGTTGCTGCCTTCAACATAACATCAGTGACAGGAACTTGCTGAGGTGAAAGGTGACTCCATGTTCTTTTCTCATTTGTCCACAGTGTACCACATGAAGGAAGATGGTTGGGTGAAAGTAGAAAGTACAGATGTCAGTGACCTGCTGCACCAGTACCGGGAAGCCAATCAATAATGGTGGTGGTGGCAGCTGGGCAGGTCTCCTCTGGGAGGTCTTGGCCGACTCAGGGACCTAAGCCACGTTAAGTCCAAGGAGAAGAAGAGGCCTAGCCTGAGCCAAAGAGAGAGTACGGGCTCAGCAGCCAGAGGAGGCCGGTGAAGTGCATCTTCTGCGTGTTCTCTATTTGAACAAGCATTTCCCCCAGGGAAGTTTCTGGGTGCCCCACTAAGTAGAATAAAGAAAAACGGTTATAAATACCTCTGTCTTGTGGCTGAATGGGGTTGGGCCTGTGGTTGTTGGGTGGGGCAGAAAGTAAAGAGACGCTTTTTCTGGAGAAGGGGCTCAGACCCCTATCTAAGAAATGTGGCCTCACCACATAGTTCTTCCTGGGGTTTCCTTCCACACTCATCTCTCCAAGACCTCAGGAAGGCTGCTCATTGCTGTCCATGGACACTTGTTTGCAATTTCACATAGGTTAGGGTCCTTTCCATAGAGAGGCACCTGGGGACTCCTGTGTGCTCCATTGTTAATGGTTTGAGGAACAGGGAGTAGGGCACCTAGGATAACTGTTTTTGACTTTATAGAGTAGGATGAAAAAGCTTCCACTTCACTTTAATATGGTAATCATATAAACACCATACCATTTATCCCAAATAACACTTTGGAGATATTGGATATTGAATATAAAGACAGACATTAAGGGTCTAATTTCATGATGTGTCATGCTGAATTGCAAGATGGCAGGACTATAATTTTAGAGGAAGAAGAGATCAGGAGGACTCCCCTAAGTGAGGAGTGTGGGGAAAATGTAAAAGATCCAGGTTAGAAGAAAGAGACACACATCATGAGATTTTCGGAATCATGCTGGAACTATGGACCATGTCACTTTCCAGAAAATAAAGGAAACAAATGCTTGAAAGTAGGAGCATGAGCTTGAGCATGGAGCTTTTTTCATTAGAGAGAGATTCTTAAAATGCCAGAATGAATAGAGTTGTAAAACTTTAGCGAGCCCCTACTTAAAATCCCTCCTCCCCACCACCACTATTTTAAACTTTAAGTGACTCCTTGGTAGTCACACAGGTAACATTTCAAAATGGTGATCTGGAATCCAAGCGACCCTTCCTTTGGGGAATTTGTTTGTTTGTTTGTTTTTAGTTTGGGAGGTGGTTTCAATCTGAAGAGTCCTTTCTGGAATAAACGAATCTTTCTGTTGCATAGGAAGGCTCTGGGACAGGAAGGATATTTAAAAACCTAATTACTGTTCTAAACAGTGTTAAAATAGAACAAGAACCAAAGCCCAGTACCGGGCATTTCCCTCATAGGCTGAAGGTGCGCCCAACATAATTTGGAGTACAGACTCAGAGGCACCTGAACACGCGCCAGCTCAAGGTGCTCCGGCTGAGAAGGACGGATGAAGATGAACGCTCAGGGCCTACTAAATTCAAAGTCTGTACGTGAAAATCCCCTTTGGCCTGGTGAGATTGGTTGGAACCTTCTATTTAGGAGAGCCCGGCTCGCTCGCCTAAAACTGGAGCTTGCATGGAAGAGGGCACTTTTTTTTTTTTTTTAGACGAAGTCTCACTCTTGTCGCCCAGGCTGGAGTGCAATGACCCGATCTCGGCTCACTGAAACCTCTGCCTCCTGAGTTCAAGCGATTCCCCTGCCTCAGCCTCCCGAGTAGCTGGGATTACAGGCGTCCGCCACCACGCCCTGGCTAATTTTTGTATTTTTAGTAGAGACAGGGTTTCACCATGTTGGCCAGGCTGGTCTCGAACCCCTGACCTCAGGCGATCCGCCCGCCTCAGCCTCCCAAAGTGCTGTGATTACAGGCGTGAGCCACCGCGCCGGACCAGAAAGAAGGCACTTCTTAATAGTAGGCTCAGAGCTTGAAGTAGTAACTTTGAGAAAATTCAGTGATTCTCCAATTACAAAGCATTCTCCAATTACAAAGCAAGGACAACAGATACAGTTGCCCTTGAGACAACTGTATTTTACTTAATGATAAAGAAACATTTTTGCAGTTTTATATCCCAGAGTAACCGCCACTAAAGGCGAGTGAGACTCATTGCAGGCCTGTACAGTGCGAACCAGAGTTCGGGCTCCAGTTCCGCTGTCTGCGGGTCTCGCGCGCCCCCTCCCGGCGGCCCAGCCCAGAATGAAGGCCTTGGTTGGGGAAACGAAAGCGAAAGCTGCCCGAGCCCTGACGCCCGCCCTGGCCGAGCGTAGCTGGCGGACCAGAGCCGGTAGCGAGGTTGGGAGAGACGGAGCGGACCTCAGCGCTGAAGCAGAAGCCCCCGGAGCTGCGGTCTCCCCGCCGCGGCTGGTGAGTTGGTGCGGAGGGGAACCTGGAGCGCCAACAGGAACGCAGCCCAAGTGACTACCCACTCCACGCTCCTGCTTCCCAGTCCCTCTGCACCCGGCGATAGGAGGGAGCGGAGCCCGGACCACTTAGCTCGCCGCGGCAGGCGGGGGTGGGGGTGGGGGTCCGGGGATTTTTTTTTTTTTTTAAGCACGAGGCTCCTGATGGTCATGCTTCCAGCTCCCCAGAAGGCCGAAAGCTGTCTGTCGTAGGAGGGGTGTACGGATGAGCACCGGTTACTCAGGAGAGCTCTCAGGGTTGAATAGGATGAAATGAGAAGCCGATGGACGGGTTAGGCGGAGCCGGGCGGGTAGGAGGGCAGGGACAAGGATTGGGACTCCACCCCCATGATTTCTCATCTCGTATCCGTTGACAGAGCCATGCGGCTCCCTGACCTGAGACCCTGGACCTCCCTGCTGCTGGTGGACGCGGCTTTACTGTGGCTGCTTCAGGGCCCTCTGGGGACTTTGCTTCCTCAAGGGCTGCCAGGACTATGGCTGGAGGGGACCCTGCGGCTGGGAGGGCTGTGGGGGCTGCTAAAGCTAAGAGGGCTGCTGGGATTTGTGGGGACACTGCTGCTCCCGCTCTGTCTGGCCACCCCCCTGACTGTCTCCCTGAGAGCCCTGGTCGCGGGGGCCTCACGTGCTCCCCCAGCCAGAGTCGCTTCAGCCCCTTGGAGCTGGCTGCTGGTGGGGTACGGGGCTGCGGGGCTCAGCTGGTCACTGTGGGCTGTTCTGAGCCCTCCTGGAGCCCAGGAGAAGGAGCAGGACCAGGTGAACAACAAAGTCTTGATGTGGAGGCTGCTGAAGCTCTCCAGGCCGGACCTGCCTCTCCTCGTTGCCGCCTTCTTCTTCCTTGTCCTTGCTGTTTTGGGTGAGTCAGGAGAGGACGTTGTGAGTTGGAGGTGGTAAAAGGGCCTGCGCACCAGCACATTCTTGTGTTATTTTTCATGCCTCTTTCAGGTGAGACATTAATCCCTCACTATTCTGGTCGTGTGATTGACATCCTGGGAGGTGATTTTGACCCCCATGCCTTTGCCAGTGCCATCTTCTTCATGTGCCTCTTCTCCTTTGGCAGGTAGGTGGTGGGCAGCTGGGTCCATTTGCTAGCCCCAAATCTTTATAGGGGTCTTCACTTCCCTAACTCCATTTCTAGGCCCTTTCAGGCGCAAAACACAAAAATACTTAAACTAAAATATGGTGAATGTAGTCACCATTCTGTTTCATCTATCCATTCATTTCTTCCTTCGTTCATATTCATCCAATATCTTCAAAGTTTATCTGATCTTATTATAGGAACAAGTTATGAGTGAAGGTAGTACAAAAGGAATTTAAGTCTCAGGTGGAATGTCTCTCAGTTGTCTCTCAACATTCCTAGGTCCATGAAATTCCATTTCTTTCTGCCTCCTACCTCCTACCCCTAAGTCTGTCTCCAAAGTATCTCTCCAGGGTCACTCTCTCAGGATGGGTATGCTTCTCCCTCTCACTCTTCTTTCCCAGCTCATCTTGCTAATCCCTGAAGATCTTACTCTGAGGCTTATCACCTTTCTTTCCAGAATCATTACTCTTTTCCCTTCACTTGCTTTCCTTTCTTTTTCTAGACATACTCAAACAAACAAACTGTTTGATAAGGCTGGGACTGGGATGAGGTGAGCGAGGCACCTGGGGTGCAAAGTTTAAGGAGGTGTGCACTCACCTTACCCAAATCCCAGCCGGCCTGATTGTCTCTATTTTTATGGTCATACTTAATTTAGAGTACCCTCGAAAACCATTTCATTGTGCCTTCATTCCATCCTGGCTGCTTTCTGCTGAAACTACAGTTGTGCACTGCATAACGATGTTTAGGTCAATGATGGGCCACATATAAGATGGTGGACCCACAAGATTATAATACCATATTTTTACTGTACCTTTTCTATGTTTAGATACACAAATACTTACTTCTGTGTTACAGTCGCCCACAGTGTTAGGTGCAGTCATATGTTGTACAGATTTGTAGCCTAGGAGCAATAGGCTAAACTACATGGCCTAGGTGTGCAGTAGGCTATGACATCTAGGTTTGTGTAAGTACACTCTATGATGTTCATACAACAATGAAACCATCTAATGACACATTTCTCAGAACACATCCCTGTCATTAAAGTACAAACCCTCATTATATCATGTCTGACTCTCCCAAACGCCTCTTCAATATGGTAACTAAATTTGTATTAGAAACATATATTTTGTAAAATACATGCTTTTATGCTTTATATTTTTTCCTCTAAGTGTTACTGTAGCATGTAGTTGGTCTAAGAGGGATTTTCCAACTCGAAGGATGAAAGATGGGAATCACATGACTCTGGGGCTCCAGAGAATTGTGGGGGCAGGGAATTTATTATTGCAGTTCCCATGATGAAGTATCTATGATGACAGAGAAGGGCTTTGGGTATGGGGCAGGAAGGAGACCAAGGCGGAGGAGACGCACAGAGGGACAAGCCTGAGGGACGCTGGGACAGAAGCAAGCACTGGGATACTTGTTTTCACAATATCTTTTCCCTTCTATTGTAGTCTTCTATTGTGTCTAGTACAGAGTGCACTCCATAAATACTTGTAAATTTGTACATGTTATGATTTTGTTCTCACATCTAGCTCACCATGTCTCCTCTTTCTTCTTCCTCTGTGTATTCCTTACCTCTTCTCTCTCTGTGTGTCTGTCTCTCATTTCTTTCTCTTTTGCCCCTCCTGGCATGCTTTCCCCTGACTTTGCGCTTCTCTGCACTCCTGGCTTGCTCCTCTGTTTCACCCGCTGGCTTGCTCCTTCTCTGCATCTCCCTCCCCTCTTATTCTCCTACCCCACAGCTCACTGTCTGCAGGCTGCCGAGGAGGCTGCTTCACCTACACCATGTCTCGAATCAACTTGCGGATCCGGGAGCAGCTTTTCTCCTCCCTGCTGCGCCAGGACCTCGGTTTCTTCCAGGAGACTAAGACAGGTGGGGCCTGGTGTCCAGGTCTGAGATTCCCATGGACATCCCTTGCCCCTCAGTGACCTTCCACCCACAGCCTCTCCTCCTGCCTTCACCCGTATGCCAGGACCTGGGGATGCTTTTCTCTTGTTTGGGACAGGGTGGAGAAGCAGCCTCCACTGTCCCTCTGCAAGTGAAGGAGGATGTTCAGAGGAGGGGGCTGTGTCAGAGGGAACGGTCAGGAGGGAGTTTCTGGGGGCCCTGCAGTACACATGGTTTCCTTTTTCCTCACCTGCTCTGTCCTTCTTAGGGGAGCTGAACTCACGGCTGAGCTCGGATACCACCCTGATGAGTAACTGGCTTCCTTTAAATGCCAATGTGCTCTTGCGAAGCCTGGTGAAAGTGGTGGGGCTGTATGGCTTCATGCTCAGCATATCGCCTCGACTCACCCTCCTTTCTCTGCTGCACATGCCCTTCACAATAGCAGCGGAGAAGGTGTACAACACCCGCCATCAGGTGAGCGTGCATGTAAGGGAACCCCAAAGGGAGAATAAAACTGACAGGTGAGGAGGCTTCCACATTTGTGGCTAGAGGATCCCCTAGAGAGAGATGTTCTCTTCTCAGCCGTTAGGGGAGAAGGTATATTGTAGTATATACTACATTTTGTTTGTCCAGCCATCCAACAATGGATATTTGACTTCAGAAGATTCATGATTCTCCAGAACTGTAAACAAAAATGTAAAGTGTATGTGAAGGTATGGGGGAGGGAATAGGAAGGGGAGATGATAGGCGATGATAACTTTTCATTAGCTTCTCAAAGGAGTCTGTACATCCCCCGCCCCCACTGCGAAGATTAAAAATGGTTTCTTAGAGGCTTTTAGGCAGGGAGATTTTCCCTTTAAAATCAGCAGAAGAAGTCTGGATGCAGCATAGGGAAAGGAGGCGTCATCAGGAAGTCCTAAGTCTGAATGTCAGCTCCACCTTCTCTTTTTCTCTTATATTGTGGTAAAACATACATAACATAAAATTTACCATTTCAACCATTTGAAGTGTACAGTTCAGTGACATTTAGGAAACCCACATTGTTATTGGGTAACCATCATCACCATCCATCTCCAGAACTTTTTTCATCTTCCTAAAATGAAACTCTGTACCCACTAAATAGTAACTGCCTACTACCCCCAACCCCTGGCCGCTGGCAACCTCCATTGTACCTTCTGTCTCCATGAATTGTGATGACTCCAGGTGCGGTACGTAAGTGGAACCATACAGTATTTGTCTTTTTGTGACTGGCATATTTTACTTAGCGTAATGTCTTCAGGCCTCATCCATATTGTAGCATGTGTTAGAATTTCCTCCCTTTTAAGGCTGAATAATATTCTGTTGTGTGCATATATCACATTTTGATTATCCATTCATCTGTCAATGGACATTTGCGTTGTTTCCACCTTTTGGCTGTTGTGAATTATGCTGCTGTGGACATGAGTGTACACCTGTTTGAAACCCTGCTTTTGGTTCTTTTGGGTATATACTTAGAAGTGGAGCTGCTGGATCATATGGCAATTCTATTTAACAATTTTTGAGGAACCATGTATTAGTCCATTTTTACGCTGCTGATAAAGACATACCCAAGATTGGGCAATTTACAAAAGAAAGAGGTTTATTGGACTTACAGTTCCATGTGGCTGGGAAGACCTCACAATCATGGCGGAAGGTGAAAGACACATTTCACATGGCAGCAGACAAGAGAAAAGACAGCTTGTGCAGGGGAATTCCCCTTTTTAAAACCATTATATCTCGTGAGACTTATTCAATATCACAAGAACAGCATGGGAAAGACTTGCCCTCATGATTCAATTACCTCCTACCCAGTCCCTCCCACAACACATGGGAATTCAAGATCAGATATGGGTAGGGACACAGCCAGATCGTATCAAACCACCATACAGTTTTCCATAGCGGCAGCACCATTTTAAATTCCCACCAGCAGTGCATAAGGTTTCCAATTTCTCCACATCCTCATCAACACCACTTTCTGTTGTCTTTTTTTTAATAGCCATTCTAATGGTGATTAGGTGATTAGGATTATCTCATTGTGGTTTTGATTTGCATTTCCCTAATGATTAGTAAATATTGAGCATCTTTTCGTGTGATTTTGGCCACTTATGTTTCTTTCTTGAAAGAATGTCTGCAAGTTCTTTGCCCATTTTCTGATTTTTTTTTAAGTTGTGGGAGTTCACTATATGTTTTGCCTATTAATTTCCTATCAGATATATGATTCACAAATATTTTCTTGTATTTCATGGTTGCTTTTTCACTCTGTTGCTAGAGTTCTTTGATGCACAAACGTTTTAAATTCTGATGAAGTCTGATTTATCTATTTTTTGTTGCCTGTGCGTTTGGTGTTATATCCAAGAAATCACTGCCAAATCTAGTGGCATGAGGCTTTTCTTCTACATTTTCCTAGGAGTTTTATAGTGTTAGCTCTTATGTTTAGGCCTCTGATCCATTTGGAATTACATCTCCACCTTTCTTAACTATCTGTGGCTCCTTGGGAAAACTACCCTTCTTTCCTGATTCAGACACTGGGGATGGGAAAATTACCTCAAATGAAGGTTAAAAAAATTGCATGTATCTCCTATACTACCTAACACTGAGAGCTCAATAATATTTTGTTCCCTTGCTCCTTCACTCTTATTCCTTCTGGAAAGAAGAGTAAGGAAGAGGGAGAGAAACAGTTTGGTATTTTTAGGTAGACTAGGGAGCATCTCACTGGCTGGAGTAAGATGTGGGGGCCTGCTGTCTTTGCACATCAGCCCTGGTGTTTGCTGGCCCTCTTTTCCAGGAAGTGCTTCGGGAGATCCAGGATGCAGTGGCCAGGGCGGGGCAGGTGGTGCGGGAAGCCGTTGGAGGGCTGCAGACCGTTCGCAGTTTTGGGGCCGAGGAGCATGAAGTCTGTCGCTATAAAGAGGCCCTTGAACAATGTCGGCAGCTGTATTGGCGGAGAGACCTGGAACGCGCCTTGTACCTGCTCGTAAGGAGGGTAAGATACCAGAGTGGTTGTGAAAGGAGCCCAGGAAAGGGGGAGGGCAAGGGAAGAGGAAACTACAGCTGGTTCTAGAGGCCTTTGCAGCTCAGTCTCATAGAGGCAGAGAGGGGGAAAGAATGGGAAGATTCCCAGCCTCATCTCTTTCTTCTCCTCTTCCAGGTGCTGCACTTGGGGGTGCAGATGCTGATGCTGAGCTGTGGGCTGCAGCAGATGCAGGATGGGGAGCTCACCCAGGGCAGCCTGCTTTCCTTTATGATCTACCAGGAGAGCGTGGGGAGCTATGTGCAGGTGAGCGAGAAGCCAAGCCTGCTCTCCTTTTTTCCCTCTCTTTTTCTTTGTGGACTCCTGGGCCTTGGGCTTTATTTGTTCTTTTTAACAATACAATACAAAACCAAAACCCGCAAGTAATTTTGCTATGGAGAATTTTAAACATATGCCAAAAATGAGACAAAATAATATTACAAACTCACATGTATACATCCTGTGCTTTAACAATGATCAACTCATGCCCAATCTTGTTGGATCTGTATCCCCAGCCACTTCCCCCCACCCATATTATTCTGAAGCAAATCCAAGATATTGTATACTTTCATCTGTAAATATTTCAGTATGTTTCTTAAAAATACAAACATCTTTAAAAGTGTATAACAACAAAGCCATTATCACACCAAAAAATTAACAGTAGTTCTTAAAATTTATCAAATAGTCAATTGTCAAATTTCCACTTGTGGTATCCATGTAGTATATGTGTATGAGTGTGTTTATTATACTTTGCTTAAATCAGGATCCAGAAATGGTCCACATATTGTGACTGGTTGATACATCTTTTAAGTCTGTCTGTCTATCTATCTATCCATCCATCTATCCATCCATCCACCCATCAATCCATGTATCTGTCTAAAAGTTTCCCTTGCACAGTTTATTTGTTGAAGAAATAGGTTGTTTGTCCTGTGGAGTTTCTTAGGGTCTGGATTTTGTTGACTGAATCCCTGTGGTATTATATGCTCTTCTGCCTCTGTACTTCCTGTCTATTGATAGATAAACCTAGAAGCTTGTGAGATTGAGGGGTTTTTTTTGGTCTTTTTCCAGCAACAGTACTTTTTAGGTGGTGATGCATTCTTCCTCCAAGAGGCACACAATGTCTGGTTCTCTATTTGTGGCAACATCAGCCACTGATGAGCAGTACCTACATCCATGACAGAATTAGGGCTGCAAAAGGGAGATACTCTATCATTCTTCACGTATTAGCTGAAGTAGTCTATGAAGGGAGACTTCCCCTCATCTACCATTTCATTACCCGGTGGTACAGTTTGATGAGGAAAGGCAGAGTGAGCATTTAGATCTCTTCCTACATTTACCAGTTCTCAAAAACAGCTACTTCATCCAGGGCTTTATTTAAACATTTTCCTAGACACTTGATAAACATCTTTTTTGTGTAGAGAACTGCGCTGGGCACTCTGACGGCTACAAAGGTGAGTTGGGCACAGTGCCTGCATTTAAGGAGCTCCCCGTCTAATCAAGCAAGACAGAACTGGGCACAAGTAATAGGAAGCAGTAACTGAAAAGATCTGGGGCTAGAGGCAATGCTGTATGGTAGGAGAATGGACTGTATATCCTTTATATTGCAAATTGGAACACTGGGGTATTGGTGCCACTTTTAAATTCCGTCCAAATTGTACATTTAAAGGTGGAGAATCTCTTTTGAGTATGGAGGAGGAGCAGTGCAGTTGTGAGTGGAGTGTGTGAGGAGTTGGGAGGGTGGTTTCTGGTAGAAGTGTGTTTAATTAGCCGGCTCTCCCATTCCTGTTTTCCAGACCCTGGTATACATATATGGGGATATGCTCAGCAACGTGGGAGCTGCAGAGAAGGTTTTCTCCTACATGGACCGACAGCCAAATCTGCCTTCACCTGGCACGCTTGCCCCCACCACTCTGCAGGGGGTTGTGAAATTCCAAGACGTCTCCTTTGCATATCCCAATCGCCCTGACAGGCCTGTGCTCAAGGTGCCTGAAAGAGGGAGGAAACCTGGACCCTTGCTCTCTGCTGCTAATGCATAATTGGACATCACAGCCTATAGTTCATTTGCCTCTGAGAACCTGGTCTTGCCTCTGCTAAGAAGAGAAATGGAGGGATTTTGAGGGAGAAGGGGCAGGCCCTTAACTCTTTTTCTGGTTTTCTAGGGGCTGACGTTTACCCTACGTCCTGGTGAGGTGACGGCGCTGGTGGGACCCAATGGGTCTGGGAAGAGCACAGTGGCTGCCCTGCTGCAGAATCTGTACCAGCCCACAGGGGGACAGGTGCTGCTGGATGAAAAGCCCATCTCACAGTATGAACACTGCTACCTGCACAGCCAGGTGGGTGAGGAGGGAGAAGACAGGGGACAGGAGAGGGGAGCATGTACAGAGAGAGGATGGGAGATCCACGGGAAGGCGCACCAGGTGTTCATTCTGAGGGAGGTAGGTGGGGAGGACAAAAGGGCCCCTGCCTTGGGGGTTTACACATAGTCCTCTGCCCCTGTCCCTGCTGCACAGGTGGTTTCAGTTGGGCAGGAGCCTGTGCTGTTCTCCGGTTCTGTGAGGAACAACATTGCTTATGGGCTGCAGAGCTGCGAAGATGATAAGGTGATGGCGGCTGCCCAGGCTGCCCACGCAGATGACTTCATCCAGGAAATGGAGCATGGAATATACACAGGTATCTTCTACAAATTGTAAGCCTGCTCCTTCAGTAAAAAAGAGAAAATCAGACTTACTCTTAGTGGTGAAGGTCGTGTCCCTGTAGCTTGATGTTTGCTGTTCCTCTGCCCTTTCCTCCATTCCTACGTCTCCTTCCCCACACACTGAATTCTTCAGCCTCCCTCTTGCTCAAGAGTCTTTGTTTGCAGAGAGCAATGCAGCAGTGGTGCTCCCTCCATGGGCAGCCCCGTCAGGTCCCCACCCCATGGCCCTCCTCCCACTGGGCCCTCCCCGCACTGGGCCCTCCCACCTCCCGAGGTCCTACTGGAAGTACCTGCTGTGCACTTGTCCCTCCTTGTGTGTTATCTGTGTCACTTGTATCTGAGGAAGGGAATTTCTCTGATTTCCTCAGATGTAGGGGAGAAGGGGAGCCAGCTGGCTGCGGGACAGAAACAACGTCTGGCCATTGCCCGGGCCCTTGTACGAGACCCGCGGGTCCTCATCCTGGATGAGGCTACTAGTGCCCTAGATGTGCAGTGCGAGCAGGCCGTGAGTACTGTGAGAGGGCAGGGGACAGTGGGGCCTGGGAGGGGCATGCTGGGAGGATCAGCCTGTGTAGAATTGGGCAGAGGGAGGACGAAGGACCTACTAGTAGAAACAGTCTGTGCCTTCTTGGGGTTGGGGAATGGAATCCGGTGGTGTGAGGGCAGCCCCAGTTCCCTCCTGGGCTTCCATTCCTCCAGCTGTGGCAGTACAGCTGGGAGAGAAGGGCAGTCCAGGCCTTTATCTACTGCCCTTTCCTACCTTCTTTTATTTCACACCTTCTTTACCCTAAATCATAAGAGATGGTGCCCAGGTGGATGTGGTGTCCATCTCATTCCTGTCTTTCTGAGGCACTGTGATCACCCCTTCAGCTGCAGGACTGGAATTCCCGTGGGGATCGCACAGTGCTGGTGATTGCTCACAGGCTGCAGGCAGTTCAGCGCGCCCACCAGATCCTGGTGCTCCAGGAGGGCAAGCTGCAGAAGCTTGCCCAGCTCCAGGAGGGACAGGACCTCTATTCCCGCCTGGTTCAGCAGCGGCTGATGGACTGAGGCCCCAGGGATACTGGGCCCTCTTCTCAGGGGCGTCTCCAGGACCCAGAGCTGTTCCTGCTTTGAGTTTCCCTAGAGCTGTGCGGCCAGATAGCTGTTCCTGAGTTGCAAGCACGATGGAGATTTGGACACTGTGTGCTTTTGGTGGGGTGGAGAGGTGGGGTGGGGTGGGGTGTGGTGGGGTGGAGGCTGTCTGTGTCCAGGAAACTTAATTCCCTGGTGACTAGAGCTTTGCCTGGTGATGAGGAGTATTTTGTGGCATAATACATATATTTTAAAATATTTTCCTTCTTACGTGAACTGTATACATTCATATAGAAAATTTAGACAATATAAAAAAGTACAAAGAAGAAAAGTAAAAGTACCCATTGTTTCACTTCCTGGAGATAACCATAGTTGCTATTTTGCTGCCTGTTCCATCAGTCGTTTATCTGTTGTTTGAGATAGAAATTAACCAAAAATGACATAAATATTCATGAGATTGCCTTCCTATATCCCTCCTTGTTCCTACCAGTGTCTGCTATTTTGAAGAAGCTAGGGTCTGGAGGGACAGAGAACAGTTCCCTGATTAACAGTATTAATAATGACATTGGTAACAGCTACCATTTATAGAGTTTTAATGTGAGTAGGAGCTATGCTAAGTGTTTTTCATGTATTATCGTTTTTAATCATTATCTCCAACCCTATGAGGTTGGTTATTATCCCCATTTTACAGATGAGGAAACTGAAGCTCAAAGAGGCTCAATGACTTTCCCAAGGTGGTCGTAGTGGTGGAGTTGGAGTTTGAACACAGGCCTGACCCTAGAGTCCACACCCTGACCCAATCAATTATATTGCATCTTGGGTCCATAAACCCTAATCCATAATCCCATCAAGAAAAGCTCTGCTGCTCTTAGCTCTAAATAATTCAGAATCTATTCTCTTCTCTCCAGTCCCGTTGTTATAGTCTTCACTCATAGACAGCCCATCTGTCTCACCCTCTCCTGTTGTATCCAGCTCCACGACAAACTTCTGCCTTCCCCAACACCTTTGTGCCTTTGCATATGGTGTTTTCTTGCCCATTTTCTGCTCGACTCGCCCCTGATTTTCAAGTTCAAGACTTAACTCAGGGTTCAGGTCTTCCAGGAGGCCTTACTTATGTCGTCAGTCTGGGGAACTCTCCATGTGCTTCTATCACTGTGCGGTTACCTCTTTCACAGCCCTTTTAAAGTTCTATCTTCCCTTTCCCACCTTTTTTGACCTTCCACTAGACCATGAGCACCTGGGCGGAAAGCCATATATCTTATTAAGCTTTATATCTGCTACCTGGCCGAGGGCCTAATTCATAGTGGAGAATAAATAGTCAATTGAATAAATGAATAAATATCTCCACCATCGTACTAATCTTAATCCTCCCTGCCCACTCCCACCACTGAAAATGCAACATTGTACACATCACTGGTTGTTGGGAGGGACTTACCTTGGAAAGTTGCTATTCTAGGAAAGAGAAACCTTCATATTCCTGGAAACAGCAGGTAGTTTCCAGTGCTGGCAATGAATTCCCCAGAACTGCTGTTTTGGATTTTTTCTTGCCTGGCAGCTGTTGGGAGCAGGGTGCAGTGAGGATGGGGTGAGAGTGGGCAGTTTCTTGTGCAGATTTGCCTTTCTTTCATCCTGGGGCTGACTTGCAGCTCCACACCCATCCATCTCTCAAATTTCACAGAGGGTAAAATAGGCATTTGGAGAGAAAGAACTCTGGCCTGATTCCTTTCTCTCCCACAAATGTCCTTTATTCATAAAACAGGAATAGTAATTCCTGTATCTCCCAACTACATGGAAGCTGCAGCCCTCACAGAAGAAGATGATCTGAGAAATTCTTTGATTTCCTCAGTACAGTTATACCCATGCATCATAATACTTTAAGCCTGGAAGGCATCTTAAAAATAATGCAACAGTCAAACCTAATTTTACAGAGAAACTGACATGAAATCACGCAGCTAATCATGATAAAGCTGGGTGGAAAACTTATCTTGATGGGCAGTACAGGAAGATGCAGTAGACCTTAAGATGTCCTGAAAGTTTCTTATCTCAGGGGAAACTCCCAGGTAGGCTTTATGTCAGGGACACAGAAAAATGCTCCCTGAAAGTCAAAATATTCGGGCTAGACAGACAAATTCCTGTAAGTGTGGTTTGTCTGGGAACCACAGATGTCACTAATCCTGGTTTGCTCCAGAGTTCTTTTTGTTCACTCCTACCCCCCATCACCATTTGATTGATCTCCTTACCCTGTAATTTCCCCTTCTTGTCGCTTACCTGCAGTATCTTTCCCACCCAGGCATGCCTTATTCTTTCTAAAGGAAAGTATGAATGGAGAGGGGAAAGCTTGGGAAACTGATAGATTTCCTTGGATGCCAAAACACCTCCATAGCCTGTCTGCCCGGCCCTATGTGGAAACAGCATTGAGTTTCAAGTCCTTTATGCCTCCACCCAGGGATAGCCACTTGGAATCCACATGGCAATTGTGAAACAAGCAGGAAATGCGTAATTGTCAGAATTTTGTGGGGAAAGGACTAGGGAATAAGGAAAACAAAGATCTTCCTTGTGTTTTAGAGCTGTCAGCTAGAGGAGCACCTGCTTGAGTCTGATGCCATCTAATGGTCCCAGAAGAAACTGGGTTTTGAACCTAGAGTTCCATGGACTCTTAGGAATTAGACTACTACTACTACTAAGCATTCACTGGTGCTTACTATGTGCTATTGCTGTGCCAAGTATCTGAAACCTGTCTTCTTACCTTATTTTTCAAGATAATTCTATGTGGCAGGTATTACTATCTCAATTCTAAGAGTGAGAAAATGGAGTTTTAGAAACATTTACTAACTTGCCTGGGTCACATAGCTAAGGAAGAGGTGGACTTGCCCAGCTTTGCATAAAACTCCTCAAAAGAGTTGCCTATACTCCCTGATTCCACTTATCTTCCTACTATCCTCTTTTTAAAATATATTATTTATTTATTTAAATAAGCAATATATGAATGTGGTTTGAAATTCAAAAGACACAAAGAAGTATACAGAGGAAAGCCTCACTCTCAATCCTTCTCAAGGTTTGCTAATTCCTCTTGCATAGGCAATCCGTTCTTCCAGCTTTGTGTTTATCTTTCCAGAGAAGTTTACTGTGTATTAAGCAAATATGTATATCTTTATTCTTGCTCAGTATTTTCGCAAACAGCAGCTGTCTAAGTTCACTGTTCTGAACTTTATTTTTTAAATTAAAAATATATGGCTATGTAGTATTCTATTTTATGGAAGTTCCATATTTCATTTATCCTGTTTCCTTCTACTGATGGCTAGTTAGGTTATTGGAAGTCTTTTGCTGTTGCTAGTTAGTCTTGTATAGACATTGTAATGCACATGTGCAAAAATACAAGTATGATACAATCTTAAAGGGGAGTTGCTGAGTCCAATATATACATTACAAATATTGATAGATATTGCAAAATTGCCTTCATAGAGGCTATATTAATTTATAGTTCCAGCAGCAACATATGAGTTTATCTGTTTCTCCATATATATATATATATATATATATATATATATATATATATATAACCAACAGACAGTGTTAATTTTTAAAATTTTGACAATCTTCTGGGTGAAAGTAGCATTGTATTGTAGTTATCATTTGCTTTTTAATATTATCATGTAAGTAACAGAGATACTAAACCCAGAAGGATAAGGGAGCAAAGATGAGAAAAATAAACACACACACAAACAACAATAACAAATCTGTCTAAAATATTGGAAAATCAGAATGAGAAATGAAATATGACTGTAACGATAAAAATCAGTAATAAAAATGACTATTAAATTTAAAAATAAGGCAGAGCAACCACAAGTGACATGAGAATGAGGCAGACAAAGTTAAAGCACCTAAAGTCTTTGTCTTGTTTGAAAGGAGGGTAGAGATATTGATTACCTTCAGATGCTGCCACATTTGGTAAACATGTTAAAAATATAAGACTGACTTTTAACTAATATAATTAGAATTTAAAATTCCTAAATCAGTAAGGGGAAATTAAATAATACTTTAAATAAAAATGTAATTGATTTAATATAAGTGATGCAAGGAAAACAAAAGAAGCAAAGTAAGACATAGCAAATACAGAGCACCATATATTGTAACAGAAACGAATGTAAATAGCACAGTGATCACAAGTATAAATAGCTTAAATATGGGAGTTAAAGGAAAGTTCTCAGATTAGATTAACAATATCGCAAAATCCAGTTATATGCCCTTCATAAGATCACAAGAAACCTAAAAACATGAAAATGTTAAATCAAAACCAGATATAAGATACACAAAGCAAACACTAACAGAAGACAGAAAGACAGCTTATGTAATTACAGAAATATCTAAACATATAGTCTAAAACCAAAGGCATTAGTAAAAACAAAGACAGCCATTACATAGTGATAATGAAGTCACCAGAACATTATACTAAAACTGAATCAGTTTGCACCTAGCAATAAAACTACAAAATATGTAAGAAATATAGGAGAATTATAGGAAGAAATTAATTGAGAAATTGAAACACATTTCTCAATGATTATAGAATAAGTGGAAAAATGAATAAGGATATCAAATAAGCCTGTTGATGTTCTTGTCTGTAACATCTAGGAATCAAAATATATTCTTTAAAACTAATAAATCAAGTGCTCGTATTTACACATTTAAGACTACAAAGGTAGACACACACACAGAAAGAGGAAGGGAGAGGATATGAGCTAGTTTTGTGATTGTTCATTATTTAAAACTAATAGGAATTATCTAAAGGAAGAGGGAACTAAGTGTATTATATACAAATAAACTTATCAAAGCAACCTTGAAATATACACCTTCCTTAATATCTGAAAAGGTAAAATTTTTAAAATGCACAATAAAGACATAGTGAAAGATTTTTAAAAATACTCATGTAAACATTATACTTAACAGAAGTTAATATCTCTGAATTAGACTGAATCTATTTGCTGTATGAATAATTATAAATGGGCTTCTTAACTGAACTAAATAAATGAAAATATTTTTAAATTAGATTAAGATAAAAACTGTATTATTTGCAATATGCAAAAGACACCTAACATAAAGCCACTCAGAAAGATGTATTCATTATTTTCAACAAATAAGATGATGGGCAAAGACATAACAAGAGAATGCAAACAAAAGGGAAGCAGAGGTCACATTCGTCTTACCAAACAAGATGAAATTCAGACACTCCTCACCAAAAAAAAAAAAAAAAAAAAAAAATTGAGTGTGACAAGAAGGGCACTTTATAATGTAAAGTATAAAATTCATATGAATATATGAGACATGTGTTTAAGTTCTAAATACCAAATAGGTAGCTCTTATAAAGCAGAAATTAA
>NT_167245.2:540375-616872 GCF_000001405.40 Homo sapiens | reverse complement strand
GGCCAGGGCAATCAGGCAAGAGAAAGAAATAAAGCGTATTTGAATAAAAAGACTGGAAATCAAATTGTCTCTGTTTGCAGATGACATTGTATATTTAGAAAACCCCATCGTCTCAGCCCAAAATCTCCTTAAGCTGATAAACAACTTCAGCAAAGTCTCAGGATACAAAATCAATGTGCAAAAATCACAAGCATTTCTATACACCAACAATAGACAAACAGAGAACCAAATCATGAATGAACCTTCATTCATAATTGCTACAAAGAGAATAAAATACCTAGGAATACAGCTAACAAGGGATGTGAAAGACTTCAAGGAGAACTACAAACCACTTCTCAAGGAATTAGGAGAGGACACAAACAAATGGAAAAACATTTCATCCTTGTGGATACGAGGAACCAATATTGTGAAAATAGCCATACTGTCCAAAGTAATTTATAGATTCAGTGCTATTCCCATCAAACTACCATTGACATTCTTCAGAGAATTAAAAAAAAAAGGCTACTTTAAAACTCATATGGAACCAAGAAGGAGCCTGTATAGCCAAGACAATCCTAAGCAAAAAGAACACAGCTGGAGGCATAATGCCACCTGACTTCAAACTATAATACAAGGCTACAGTAACCAAAACAGCATGGTACTGGTACCAAAGCAGACACATAGACCAACAGATCAGAAATAAGACGGCACATCTACAACCATCTGAATTGCAACAAACCTGACAAAAACAAGCAATGGGGAAATGATTCCCTATTTAATAAATGGTGCTGGGAAAATGGGCTAGCCATATGCAGCAAACTGAAACTAGACCCCTTCCTTACACCTTATACAAAAATTAGCTCAAGATGTATTAAAGACTTAAATGTAAAACCTAAAACGATAAAAATCCTAGAAGAAAATGTAGGTAATACCATTCAGAGAATAGGCATGGGCAAAAATTTTATGATGAAATTGTCAAAAGCAATTGCAACAAAAGCAAAAATTGACAAGCAGGATCTAATTAACTAAAGAGCTTCTGCACACCAAAAGAAACTACCATCAGAGTGAACAGGCAACCTGAAGAATGGGAAAAAAATTTTGCAATCTACCCATCTGATAAAGGTCTAATATCCAGAATTTACAAGGCACTTAAACAAATTTACAATAATAAAACAAATAACCCCATCAAAAAGTGGGCAAAGGATATGAACAGACACTTCTCAGAAGATACTTACACAGCCAACAAATTATGAAGAAAAGCTCAACATCACTGATTGTTAGAGAAATACAAATTAAAACCACAATGAGCTACCATCTTATGCCAGTCAGAAGAGCAATTATCAAAAAGTCAAGAAACAATAGATGCTGGCAAGGCTGTGGAGAAATAGGAACACTTTTACACTGTTGGAGGGAATGTAAATTAGTTCAACCATTGTGGAAGACAGTGTGGCAATTCCTCAAGGATCTAGAACCAGAAATACCATTTAGCCCAGCAATCCCATTACTGGGTATATAACCAAAGGAATATAAATCATTCTATTATAAAGATACACACACATATGTTTATTGCAGCACTATTCACAATAGCAAAGACTTGGAATCAATCCAAATGCCCATCAATGATAGAATACATAAAATGTAGTACATATATATCATGGAATACTATGCAGCCATAAAAAGGAATGGGATCATGTCCTTTGCAGGGACATAGATGAAGCTGGAAGCCATCATCCTCAACAAAGTAACTGAAACAGAAAACCAAACACCGCATGTTCTCACTAATAAGTGGGAGTAGAATAAAGAGAACACATGGACACAGGGAGGGAACAACACACACCAGGGCCTGTCGGCGGGTGGAGGGTGGGAGAGCATCAGGACAAATGGCTAATGCATGCAGGGCTTAATACCTAGGTGATGGGTGGTTAGGTGCAGCAAATCACCATGGCACACGTTTACCTATGTAACAAACCTGCACGTCTGCACATGTATCCTGGAACCTAAAATAAAATAAAATTTAAAATATATATAAACATACCATAAAACTACCATGACATTGAACATCCTAGAGGGTTTGTGCATGAAAGTTTTTGCTTTCTTACTACTTTTTATGCTCCCAGTTAACACACATCTTACAGGAAGTATACGTTTTAGTATTTCTCACATCCCATAGTTTGTTTCATTCACCATAGAATATTATTCCAGAATATTATGTTCACAGAATAGATGAATAAGTAGAGATAATGAATGATATAATTTAGTTGGTTGCAAATATTATTTTAAGTCAAAATTTTCTGACACATTTGCTTATTAGATGATAAAAAATTTTTTTTGGTCAACACGTATTTCTCATCAAATATTTCCAAAGTGGGAAACATCCAAGCCTCATACTTTGACAACATGCTCTTCTGTCTCAATGTAGTCTACCTCTTTCACTTTTTTTTTGCTTTAAATATTAACCATGTACCACTGACTTTCACTTTATTTATCTGCAGCTTTTACTTCTATTCTAAATTCAACCAAATCTCACGCCATATTTTGTTTTAATTCAAACTCATAACCCTTTAATCAAAATCAGTTGCCATCTGTTTTATCAATGCCACTGCAATTCTCACATTCTGTTTATATCCCATTCGTTTTCTTTACTTTCTGATGCTCTTCCAATGATTAACTCACAGCTCTGAACAAATATAGCATTTTGTTACATCTAAGGCTGTTCAGTTTCAGTATACTAAAGAAAATAAGTAAAGAAACATTAAAAACAAAAAAAGTAAAATACACACAATAAAACCTAGAGAAGTGAATCCCAAAAGCAATATGCTAGCATACTGATAAGGGAGTGCTGGGAAGGGAAGAACGTGGTCCCTTTAAATGATACAAAAGGGGAGAAGAGAAGTGCTGGGTAGAGGAAGGTGTGTTCCCTGACTAGGGCTCCATCCCACGGACCTAGGTGAGGACAGGCACTCCTGCTTTTTCGCCCAAATGTTGCATTTCAAAAGTCCACCCTGACCCACCATGCCCCCATCCTTGGCCTATAAAAACCCGAGGCCCCAGCAGGCAGACACACAGGTGGCCAGATGTCCAGAGGAGTACATTGGCGAAAGAAGATGCAAGCGGCTGGTCCTCGAGAGGATGTCAAGAGGAGCACGCAGGCAGAAGAGCACACAGACAGGCACCAGCATACCAGCAGGCCATCAGCTGGTGGGAGGAGGTGGAGTTTGGCCGCGGCAGAGGAGAGCAAGGCCGAGTGGCCCAACTCCAGGGGAAGACCATTTCCCTTCTGGCTCCCCCATCAGTTGAGAGCTACTTCCACTCAATAAAGCTTTACACTAATTCTCCAAGCCCACGTGTGATCTAATTCTCCCGGTACACCAAGGCAAGAAACCCTGGGATACAGAAAGCCCTCTGTCCTCGGACAAGGTAGAAGGTCTAATTGGGCTAACACAAGCCACCTGTAGACAGCAAATTAAGAGCACCCTGTAACACACGCCCACTGGGGCTTCAGAAGCTGCAAACATTCACCCCTAAACACTGCCATGGGGTTGGAGCTCCACAGTCTGCCTGTCTGTAAGCTCCCCTAGTTGTTTGAGCAGTGGGGCCCTGAAAAAGCGAGCCACATCCCCATCGCATGCCCTGCGAGGGGGACAAGGGAACTTTTCCCATTTCAATACCACTAGAGAGGTTCACAGACAATTTGAGCCCTGTTTTCTCAAAACAGAAAAGGAAGGACAGTAAGAACTGTGCGAAGTGAGGATAAAGAAACAGAAAAGGGAGCCAATAGTCATTGGCATTATACACCTGAGAAAGCAGCAGCAGTTACCATACTGAGCATAGCCGGAGGAGTTCACCACAGTTAGAGAAATGAAGGCAGAAATGGTAGGTACACCTGTGGATTTGGAAGTTAAAAACTGATGAGGTTTTAAATCAAAGGAATCAAAGGTTTGTTTTTCTTTGTAATATAAGAAAATAATTTGCTTACAATCTTTTTTTACCTGTCATACACTATTATTCGTTTATTGTTATAGTTGGCAAATAAAAATTATATTTATCATGTACAACATGATGTCTTGAAATATGTATACCTTGTGAAATGGCTAATCAACGTATGCAATACCTCACATACTTTTTTGTGGTGAGAAAACTCATCTATTCTTTTGGCAATTTTCAAGAATACAAAACGTTATTAACTACAGTCACCATGTTGTACAATAGATCTCTTGAACTTATTTCTCCTATATAACTGAAATATTGTATCCATTTACCAACATCTCCCCACCACATCCCCTCCCAGCCCCTAGTAACCACAATTCTACTCTCTATTTCTATGATTTCAACTTTTAAAAATTCTGCATAATGTGAGATCATGTAGCATTTGTCTTTCTGTTCCTAGCTTACTTCACTTAAAATAACGTTCTCCAGGTTCATCCATGTTGTCACAAATGACAGAATTTGCTTCTTTTTTAAGACTGAATAGTATTCTATTGTGTACATATGCCATATTTTATTTATCCATTCATCCGCTGATGAACACTTAGGTTGATTCCATGTCTTGGCTATTATGAATGGTGCTGCAATAAACATTGGAGTGCACATATTTCTTTGATATGCTGATTTCATTTCCTTGGATATATACCAAGTAATGGGATTCCTTGATCATATGGTGGTTTTATTTTTAATTTTTTAAAGAACTTTCATACTATTTTCTATAATGGCTATACTTACTCACATTCGCATCAACAGTGCGGAAGAGTTCCTTTTTCTTGACATCCTTATCAGCATGTGTTACCTTTTGTCTTTTTAATATTAATTATTCTAACAGATATAAGGTTATATCTCATTGTGGTTTTCATTTGCCTTTCTCTGCTGACTATTAATTTAGTATTTTTTCATATACCTGTTGGCCATTTGCATGTCTTCTTCTGAGAAATGTCTCTTCAGGTCATTTGATCGTAACCAGGTTATTTGTTTTCTTTAATTGGGTTATTTGTAATATATATTTTGAATAGTAACCTCTTAACAGATGTGTGCTTGGCCGATTACAAAGGTTGTCTCTTCACTCAGTTGATTGTTCGCTTGGCTGTGCTGAAGCATTTTTGTTTGATGTAGTCAAAATTGTCTCTTTTTGGCTTTATTGCCAGTACTTTCAAGGTCATATCCAAAAAGTCTTTCCCAGATCAATGTCATGGAACTTTTTCCCCAATATTTTCTTCTAGTATTTTTACAATTTCAAATTACACATTTAATCCAAATGTCTTTAATCCATTTTCAGTTTTTTAAAAAAATATTGTGTGAGATTAGGGTCCAATTTCATTCTACTGGCATGCAAATATCCAATTGTTCCAACATTAGTTGTTGAAGGAACTGTCTTTTCTCCATTGTGTGCTATTGGCACTTTTGTCAAAAATCAATGGACTGTAAATGCATACATTTATTTCTGAGTTCTTTATTTTTTTCCATTGGTCTTTCTGTCTGTTTTTATGCCAGTACCATGCTGTCTTAATCGCTTTAGCTTTGGAGTGTATTTTCAAATCAGGTAGTATAATACCTGCAGCTTTGTTCATTTTTTGCAAGATTGCTTTGGCTACTTGGGTTATTTTTTTAGTTCCATAGAATTATAGGATTTTTTCCCATTTCTGTGAAACATGTCATCGATATTTTGATGAGATTATGCTGACTCTGTAGATTACTTTGAATAGCATGAACGTTTTAACAATATTATTTCTTCCAATTTGCAGGATATATCCATAGGATGTTTTTCCAATTATTTGTGTCTTTTTCAATTACTTTAATCAATGCTTTATAGTTTTTTTGTGTACAAATCTTTAACCTCCTTGGTTATGTTAATTCTTAAGTATGTTATTTTTCTTTTTTTTGTAGCTATTGTAAGTGGGGTTGTTTTCTTGATTTCTTTTTTAGATTGTTGTTAGTGTATGGAAATAATTTTTATATGTTGATTTGTATCCTGCAACCTTATTGAATTCATTTATTATTTCTAACAGTTTTTTGATAAATTCTTTATAGCTTTTATGTACAATAATATACCACATGCAATCAGGGACAATTTTAACTTTCTCAGGGGAAGAGACAGAATGAGTTACTTATACCACCGTAATGGGAAAAAGAATGTGCATTTTGAAATTTGATTAACCTTAAGTGAAACAAAATAGTCAGTGTTTATTTCTTCCAGTTACAGTTTTCCATCCCATTTTTAACACTTCCAGTATTGGAAGAGCTTGAATTGTAAATGGATGTGGAAATAGCTATAAGGTGATGGAAGAACCACCATTCTCATAATCAGAAGATGTGCATTTGAAGTTGAACACTACTGATAAATACCAGTGCAATCTTAGTCAAGATAGTTATGGTTTCTTTAATCTGAATTTTCTCTTCTATAAAATAAAAATAATTTTTAAAAACAAAAATACAAAAGTATTTTTTGAAATAACTATAGAAAATAATACATCGTTACTAGGGTGGCTGAATGATGAGCACTAACATCTCTTCCACGCTTATATGTGATGTTATTTAATGTAGTTAATATATATTAACCCATTTAACATGCCACATGTGAGAGATACTATTACCATCTTTTTTACAACTGAGCCACCAAATTAACTAGCTTTCTTTAAGTCACATACCTAACAATTGGTGGTTCATTGTTCAAACTCACACCATCTGATTCTAAAAGATGTATTGTTAACTGGTGTATATGCCATACTGAAAATTAGCTACAAGGTTTATTGCTTTCACAGAACATTTAAAAAGAATGCAGGATTGATTTGTTTATTGGGAGTATTTTATTAGATTATTCTAACCCACTTAGACATAAAACAAAGAAGAATTTGAAATTTTGGAGTTTGAATTCTGTCTCCCAATATAGAGAGTAGGTAACTAGAATAACTTTGGAGGCCTCTACAGTATTTATTTTCTTCTAAGACTACAGGTTATAGCAATTGCTAATTTCTATTAAAGATGTGTGTTCACTGAGGGCTGTACTGGCAAAGAGTCCACACAGTTTACACAGAGCTAACAGCAGCTTCTTAACACCATCATTTTTCAGTTTTCATACAATTAAAAATGGTCTCTTGGAAACTGGCTCTTATCAAGAAAGTTTTTGTTCCACTAGTAGGTCACTTGGGGGCTCATTAGAAAGCTTACAGATAATTGTATTGTTAAGATGTTATAAATGTTTTCGCAAAGTCAATAAGTACATAATTGCTTAGGTGCCTCAAAACTGTTTTCTTTGAAGAGTAAGATGCTCCATCAGGGCATATGTATTAAATACTTCCAAAGTGTCTCCAGAGGTGCCAGCTTTGTTAGGTAGTCCCTGGCGCCTTTCTCTCAGGTGTGCCTCATGGTTTTAACAATTACTTCTGCAAGAGGCCTCTTGGGGTAAGCCACTTAACAAACAGCACTGAGATAAACTTTCTTCAAAGTCTATCCTTCAAAGTTGGCCTCCTTAGGGAAAGAGATGGGTGACTTCATGCAAAGCACCACACTCAACTGTAAAGGAGAAAGGGTCATTACTATTAAAAAAAGAAGACATTTCAGAAAGCCTCAAGGGTGTTTACCTTTTCTCTGAAAGCCCCTTACCCCAGAATGAATGAGAACTGGGTTCTTGTTAATACAAATGTATATACATAGAGAGAGGGCAGAGAGAGAGGCAAGGGAGAGAGTTGGTATTAGCAAAGTTCCAGTTCTCATTCACCCTGGGGACTATGTATGTACAGTATATATTCACATAGCCACCCATTCACTTATTCTCTTGTTTTATTTAATTCACTATTCTGATATACTGGATCATCATTACAGTAGTCTACCATATTGAAAGTTCTATTTAAATTACAAATTAAAATACTAATCCAAGTAACATACAACTGTAAAGAATGTGCCTCATCTTGTAAAACGGAAGCTTTTTTCCACTTGATATTTATGTTGTAGCATTTAAAATTAATTTTGTTCAGTTTTATAATATGAGATCATGCTTTTCTACTATTTATTGCTATTTTTGAATTATAGTATAAATTTGTCATCTATGAATTCAATTTACTGTTGTATACATAGCCTTATGTTTGATTTTTGTTACTATATCTTTCATAGATTCTTTTCATGTAGTTTTGAAAAGCTAGATGCATATTATAAACTTATGTATACTTGTATATATACTTATAAAGCTATGTACAAATTAGTAACATATATATGTAATAAAATTGTGTATTGGAATATTTCATTAGGTTATTTCAGCCACAAAACATGTATCATCATGCTTAAGAACCTATAGGAAGTGAGATTCTGTGTTAGGGAAGAATTACTTTAGACAAGAACAGGACACTTATAATAGTTCTTTGAGAAATCATATTCTTCCTCTACAGCTGTCTTTCCATTCAAAACTTATATTTAAAATTTCCTGCTCTAGGAGTTCATCTAGGATTGCATTTGGTACTAATATTGTTAGGCTTTGTGTCCCCACTCAAATCCACATTGAATTGTAATCCCCAGGTGTTGTGGAAGAGACCTGGTGGGAAGTGATTGGATTATGGGGGTGGTTTCCCCATTCTGTTCTCATGACAGTGAGTGGATTCTCACAAGATCTGATGTTTTTATGACTGGTAGTTTTTTCTACACTTGCACAAGCTCTCTTGCCTGCCACCCTGTAAGACGTGTCTTTGCTTCTCCCTCACCTTCTGCCACGATTGTAAGTTTCCTGAGGCCTCTCCAGCAATGCAGAACCATGCGTTCATTAGACCTCTTTTCTTTATAAATTATCCAGCCTGGGGTATTTTTCTTCATAGCAGTGTGAGAATGGACTAATACAGGTACAGTCAAATTAGTGACTGTTATTCCCTCTATCCAAGTCCTCTGCTTTTTCTGTATCAAGAAACTAGTATCAGTTTTTATTTGGAGGAAATGAATTGATGTGGTAAATAAATGTTTGCCACATCAATATGAGAAAAATATTCCATCGTATAGCTTTCATATGTTTTATTTTCTAAAATGCATGAAAGTATCATCTGCTCAATGATACTAGACTGCATACATAACTAAGTAAAATATTATATGGGGCAGAGGTACATTATGCAAGGATATTCTCATGTTACTAGTTGGGCAGAGGATGTATACTTTTATCTTGTTGAAAATTGCAGATAATGTCATTTAATTCAAATGAAAATTATATGCTTTTTAAATTTTAATCTGGTTTGGTTTTGAAATGATATATCAAAATTTTAATATCTAATTTACCAGTTGTTTTCCATTACCAATCTCCTGGTGTGTACTTCATGACATAAACAAATATATTACTATTCTACAGCAAAAAAAAAAAAAAAAAACAACTCCATGAAATAAGTCTCATTGATTTTTATTTATGTATTTGTGTTTTTATATACGTACACAAAAGTGATATGACCGAGAGTTAAGTCCTGCTTCAAGGTAATTGGAAACCTTGATAGCTACTCAGACTCACATGCTAGAACCATTCTCATGATCATCCTATTCAAGCCTCACTCAAATCTAACTGTTAATTGAAATCAAACGACAATAGATAGCTGGTAAAAAGGTGGGGTTATGAGTACAGTGAGCATGATTGTGGACCTATGTATCCTGCCTATTTTCAAACAAATAGAGTGAGAGGTATTCCAATTTTTTAGTTTGAAAATGCAAAATCATCCTTTAAAAATAAAAAGTTTATTCCATTTGCAACAACATGGATGAACCTGGAGAGCACTATGCTCAGTGAAATAAGCCTCTCAGAAAGACTAATACTCCATGAGTCCACTTATGTGAGGACCTGTAACATTTAGCCTCTAGAAGTAGAGAATGAAAGTTATTGCCAAGGGTAGGGGATGGGGGAAATGGAGATAGGGAAATTGTTTTCCAATGAGTATACAGTTTCAGTTATGCTAGATGAATAAGAGCTCTACTGTGCAACATAGTGGCTATAGGTATTGTGCACTTCAAAATTTGCTAAGAGGGTAAATCTCATGTTGTGTTCTTATAAAAAAAAAAACAAAAAAAAAAAGCAAAGGGATGCAACGGAACTTTGGAAGGTGATAGATACGTCTATTACCTTGATTGTGGTAATGGTATCATGGATATTTGTATATGTCAAAGCTCATCAACTTGTACATATTAAGTATGTGCAATTCTTTGTATATTATACTCCCAATAAAGCTGTTTTTTTAAAAAAAGAAAAAATAATCAAACTTAATTTGGGGTAAGACATTTGTATTAGTCCGTTTTCACATTGCTATAAAGAATACTACCTGAGAGTGGGTAATTATAAAAGAAAGAGGCTTAATTGACTCACAGTTCTGCATGGCTGGGGATGCCTCAGGAAACTTACAATTATAGCAGAAAGTGAAGGGGAAACAAGAACCTTCTTCACATGGTGGCAGGAGAGAGAAGAGTGAAGGAGGAACTTCCAAACACTAATAAAGCCATCAGAGCTCTTGAGAACTCACTCACTATCATGAGAACAGCATGGGGGAAACCACCCCCATGATCCAATCACCTCCGTCCCTCGACACTTGGGGATTACAATTCGAGTTGTAAGATGTGGGTGGGGAAACAGAACCAAACCATATCAACATTCAAAATGCCAGTTCACGTAGCTGTAATATTTCTCTTTTGTCCTTTTCAAAGGTCATCTTTTTTAGGAAACTATAGATTAACTTTTATTTTGGAATAATTATATTAATATGGCAATACAAGTTCTAGTGACTTGTGTTTGATTTATTCTTATGATTTATATATTCTTTGTAAGCACTCTACAATATTTCTTATGTGAGAATTACCTTTATCACATGTCAAACACATCTGAGGGAAAAATAAATTCCATTTTGTTTTTATTATCTGCAGGAAGCACCTAATGCAAACATGTTCTTTTTTTTCCATTTTACAAAATGATTTACAAAAAAGTTGTTTTAAATAATGTTATTGTTGTGTGTGGCAACCGTGATTTGGAGTATAAGTAATTTATACACTGTTACCCAAAAGACTGTTTTGTAAAGCAAAGTGAAACTGTATGTTTCTCTTACTTACAAAAATAATTATGAAATTTTTTATGTCATGCAAGTCACTCTCTCTCATGAGTAAATAGTTGTTATTTAAATAACAATTAACCCACAAGGTTAGCACATCTTTGAAAATAAATTATTTCTTCTCTAGGACCAAAAGGTACATAAGTGCATGGTGAAGAAGTGTTTTCATTTGCAAAAGTTCTATCGCTAGAAAAATAAATTCAAGCAACATATTGTTAATTTCTTTTCTTTAACTTAGGTCATCCCACCTTTTCCTATCCCATGCTGTCATTCTTTTTTTTTTTTTTTTTGAGACGGAGTCTCGCTCTGTCGCCCAGGCTGGAGTGCAGTGGCACCATCTCGGCTCACTGCAAGCTCCGCCTCCCGGGTTCACACCATTCTCCTGCCTCAGCCTCCCAGGTAGCTGGGACTACAGGCGCCCGCCATTACGCCCGGCTAATTTTTTGTATTTTTAGTAGAGACGGGGTTTCACCGTTTTAGCCGGGATGGTCTCGATCTCCTGACCTCGTGATCCGCCCGCCTCGGCCTCCCAAAGTGCTGGGATTACAGGCGTGAGCCACTGCGCCCGGCCCATGCTGTCATTCTTACATTTTGGAATGTTTCTTTTTGAATTCTTTGCTCACTAATAAAATTCCTTAGAACCCTAGCACTACTATGAAAAAGCTCTCCAATACCACTACCTACTCCTGATATTTCTGTGTTGTCATTGACATTTGGTTCTTCTCCCAAAAGCTATTTCTCTTATTCTTCAATTCAAAGCTGCTCCTTCTCTCACAGTTTGAGGAGGTGGGTAGGATCAAGGTCTGTATTCTCTAAGTTTCTTATTTTTTTTCTGACTGTTACTTCTTCTCTTTCATATAAAATATCTTGCACTTTGAGGTCATTTTCTTACCACAAAAATTCTCTACATCTTCTTATTTTGCTCATATGCTTATTTTCCAGGCATGTTCCTAACTGCATATTGGGTGCCCATACCAGTTTCTTCTCTCCAGTATCAAATATGGCCATCACCCAGGCATCTATGTTGATGATGCAACCTTCCCACTGACCATCATGCTGCCACAATCAATATTAGGTAGATTATCTTGCCTCCCCACACTAACCTCAGACCTCCTTGACCTCCACTCCTTTTTTATTCTTTTTAAAATTATTGTTGATCATCAACCTAATACAAGACATTGTGGCATAATCCAGATATCAAAAATTCAATTGTGTATCAGGTCAAGTCTCAATTCCCCACCTTCAAATCATTCACCTTATAAAGAGAGAAACACATACACCAGATAATTAGAATACAATGTAGTAAGTGCAACAGTTAATATGAAAGTTACAAAGGTAGTGCAGATGTTATGATCACATCATGAAGATTACCTACATGTCTACTCTAAGACTATATCCCACCTTCATAGTCTTTTGTTTGGTATTGGAGTATGCTCTTTGCCATTCTCCCATTACTTCTCTCATTCCAATTTATTTTATAAATGTATAATTTATAGACAGTTAACATTCTCTTTTTTAGCATATAATTACTTGACTTTTGGCAAACACATATAATCATGCAACTATAGACACAGGCAAGATATAAAACAATTCTGTCACCTCCCAAATCCTCCCATTCCTTTTTATAAACAACACATCACTGACTCCAGCTTCTGGTAACCATAAATTTGTTTCCATCTTTATAGTTTTTTTCTTTTCCCTAATGTAATAATACAAGTAAAATCATATGATATGTGTCTTTTTTCTCTACATCTTTTTCATTTCTTTGGCTTCAAAGATACTTTCAGTTTCTTAACTGCCCACTTTCCGTAAGTCTTTCAGTTCCTTGTAACTGTACTTATGTCCCTATAGAGCCAGACCTCTATGTCTGTAAAGGGCTAGAACAGTAAGCCAGAGGAAAAAAATTTGCAATTTATTTCTGGGACTTCCAACTTCATAACACATTTATCCTCTAGCCACATCTCCAGGGAATACTCCAAAACAGCATCCAGTATTTTCTATACATACGGTTCAGAAAATCTGGAGAAAACTCCACACTCACACACTCTGATGTTGTTTAAAATTAATAGCAATCTTACTTTTCTCTTACTTTATTTGTTATGGTTACTGCCATCTCCTATTTCCTTCAGGAACTGTTTTAAACATTCATCTTTCCTTCATTAATTTACCCACACTCCCTTCATGCTTGGCAGACAGTCTCACCTTCTGTTCCACAGAAGAAACATAAAGCATTAGATAAGTTCATCTAATGCCATTCTCTGTATTTCCAACCACTCTTCTATCTTACTTCAGTCTATAATCAAGTTCAAATATTTAAAGTATTGTTAAAAATTAGGTCCACTCATGAAACTGTTGCTAAATGCAAGGAAGTTATTATTGCCCCTGACCAGAAAAGTTCTGGTACAGAGATACAGGTGGAAGCCTGATTTCAATAGGCAGAGTGAATGGGTAGCCTTTCCCACTCCTTATTTTTCATTTCTTTACATCTAATATAGAATGAATGATCAACAACTTCTCTTTAACCAACAACTTATCCTTACTTCCATGTTGGCTGTAATATCCCTAAACTTGGAAGTTAAAAATTATATGAACACATTTATCTGTCTTTGCGTTGGAGTAGTTTTCTTAAGTCACAGTGCACCTAGTTCAGGGTTTCTCAACAGAAGAACAATTGACATTTTGGGCTGCATAATTCTTCATGTGTGGGGCTTTTTAAATATGGTGAAACAAAGCCACAGAAAGGCTAAAGAACTTTCCCTAGCTTCTGGAAACCTTTAGTCACATTTAGTAAGAGGTGGCATGGTGATTTGAAGAGATGATTTTTATGTGTACAGTAAATTTATAAGCAGTTGGTTCCACTATTCCACCTGATTCTCCTATTTTACTGTAGTTTGAATACTTCCATTGAAAAATGTATTTTAAATGTCTGGCCAGAATGAGTCTCGGAGATGGCTCGTGATTGATAGGGCCATGACAGAGATTAGGATCAGAGTGCAGTCTGAGGTTGTATTCCATAGAAGCACAGTCTCTCCTCTCCACCAACCAACTTCACATGCCAGTTATGTAACTCATAACAGCTTAGTGACATGGTCCATACTCTTTTTCAAAATATAAGCAAATTAATATTAGTAAAGTAGTTGCTAAGAGACTCCCATTTGGCCTATGTGTCTGTTTTTGTACCACTATCATGTTGTTTTGGTTAATGTAGCCTTGTAATATAGTTTGAAGTTGGGTAGTATGATGCCTCCAGTATTTTTCTTTTTGCTTAGTATTGCTTTTGCTATTTGGGCTCTTTCTTGATTTCAAATGAAGTTTAGAATATTTTTTCTAATTCTGTGAAAAACAATATTGGTAGTTTGATAGGAATAGCATTGAACGTGTAGATTGCTTTGGAGAGTATGGTCATTTTAACAATATAAATTCTTCCAATCCATGAGCATGGGTTTTTTTCCCCATTTATTTGTATCCTCTATGATTTCTTTCTTCAGTATTTTGTAGTTTTCCTCAAAGAAATCATTCACTGCTTTGGTTACGTGGATTCCAACATACTTTATTCTTTTTGTGGCTATTGTGAATCGGATTGTATTATTGATTTGGCATTCAGCTTCAATGTTATTGGTATATAGAAATACTACTGATTTGTACATTGATTTTGTATCCTGAAACTTTACTGAAGTTTTTATCAGCTCTACAAGCCTTTTGGCAAAGTCATTAAGGTTTTCTAGGTATAGAATCGTATTGTCAGCAAGGAGATAATTTGACTTCCTCTTTTCCTATTTTGTTGCTTTTTATTTCTTTCTCTTGCCTGATTGTTCTGACTAGGATTTCCAGCACTATGTTGAATAGGAATGGTGAGAGTTGGCATCCTTGGCCTGTTCCAGTTCTTAAGTGTAACACTTCCAGCTTTTGCCAATTCAGTATAATGTTGGCTGTGGGTTTGTCATAGTGGGCTCTTATTATCTTGAGGTATGTTTCTTCCATGCCTAGTATGTTGAGGATTTTTTTCATGAAGGGATGTTGGATTTTATCAAAACATTTTTTCTGCATTCATTGAGATGATTAAATGGTTTTGTTTTTAATTGTTTATGCGGCAAGTCATGTTTATTGATTTGCATATGTTGAACCAACCTTGCGTACTGGTAGTGAAGCCTGCATGATAGTGGTGAATTAGCTTTTTGATGTGCTGCTGGATTCCATCTGCTAGTATTTTATTGAGAAATTTTGCATCTATGTTCATCAGGGATATTTGTCTGTAATTTTCTCTTTTGTTGTTGTGTCTTTACTAGATTTTGGTATCAGAGTGATGCTGGCTTCGTAGAATGAGTTAGGGAGGAGTCCTCTTCCCCATTTTTAAAAAATATTTCAGTAGGATTGGTACCAGCTTTTCTTTGTACATCTGGTAGAATTTGGCTATGAATCCACCTGTTTCAGGGCCCTTTTTATTTGGTAGGTTTGTTTTTCAATTTCAGAACTCTATATTGATCTCTCCAGGGTTTTGATTTCTTCCTGGCTCAATCTTGGGGTGTTGTGACCTTCCAGGAATTTATTCATTTCCTCTAGAGTTTCTAGTTTGTGTGCATAGTGGTGTTCATAATAGTCTCTGAGGATTTTTTATATATCCGTGGGATTGGTTGTTATTTCACTTTTGCCATTTCTGATTGCACTTATTTAGATCTTCTCTTTCTTTGTTGTTAATTTAGCTGGTGTCCTATTGATCTGGTTGACAAGAACCAGCTTTCGGTTATTACTTTGCATGTATTTTTGAGTCTCAATTTCATTCAGTTCTCTAATGAATTTTGGTTATTTATTGTCTTCTAGCTTTGGGACTAGTTCTTGTTTTTCTAGTTCTCTAGGTGTGATGTTAGATTGTTAATTTGAGATCTTTCTAATTTTTTGATGTAGGTATTTAGTGATGTAAGCTTTCCTAACACTGCTTTAGCTGTATTCCAGAGATTTTAAAATATTGTGTCTCCATGCACACGTATGTTTATAGCAGCACTACTCACAATAGCAAAGACTTGGAACCAACCCAAATGTCCATCAGTGATAGACTGGATTAAGAAAATGTGGCATTTATATACAAAGGAATACTATGCAGCCATAAAAAATGATGAGTTCATGTCCTTTGTAGGGACATGGATGAAGCTGGAAACCATCATTCTCAGCAAACTATTGCAAGGACAAAAAAACCAAACACCACATGTTCTCACTCATAGGTGGGAATTGAACAATGAGAACACTTGGACACAGCAAGGGGAACATCACACACCGGGGCCTGTCGTGGGGTGGGCGGAGGAGGCAGGGATAGCATTAGGAGATATACCTAATGTAAATGACGAGTTAATGGGTGCAGCACACCAACATGGCACATGTATACATATGTAGCAAACTTGCACGTTGTGCACATGTACCCTAGAACTTAAAGTATAATAAAATATGTATATAAAAAAGTAAAAATAAAAAATAAAATATTGTATCTCTGTTTTTATTTATTTTAAATAATTTTCTAAATTTTTGCCTTAATTTTATTGTTTACCCAAAAGTTACTCAGAATAAAGTTATTTAATTTCCATGTAATTTTGTGGTTTTGAGAGAACTTACCGGTATTGATTTGTATTTTTATTCCACCATGGCCCAAAGTATAGTTTGTATGATTTTGAATTTTTTAACTTTATTGAGACTTGCCTGATGTCCAAGCATGTGGTCAATCTTAGCATATGTTCCATATGCAAATGAGAAGAATGTATATCCTATGGTTGCTGGGTGGAGTGTTCTGTAGATGTCTATTATGTCCAATTGGTCAAATGTCGAATTTAACTCCAGGATTTCTTTGTTAGTTTTCTGCCTTGATGATCTAACTCTGTCAATGGGATGTTGAAGTCACCCACTCCCATGGTGTGGCTAAGTATTTTTGTAGGTCTAGCAGTACTTGTTTTATGAATCTAGGTGCTCCAATTTTAGTTGCATATATATTCAGGATAGTTAAGCCATGTGGTTGGATCAAACCCTTTATCATTGCATAGAGCCCTTCTTTATCCTTTTTTGACTACTGTTGTTTTAAAGTCTATTTTATCTGAAATAATAATTGTAACCCCTGCTCTTTTTTGTCTTCTGTTTGGGTGATAGATCTTTCTCCTACCCTTTACCTTGAGTCTATCAGTGTCATCACGTGTAAGATGGGTCTCTTGAAGACAGCAGATGGGTGAGTCTTGTTTTTTATCCAACTTGCCACTCTGTGCCTTTGAAGTAGGGTATTAAGACCATTCACATTCAAGGTTAATATTAATATGTGAGATTTTGATCATATCGTAAAGTTGTTAGCTGGTTGCTTTGTAGTTTCTATTGTGTGGTTGCCATATAGGGTCTGTGGACTATGTAGTTAAGTGTGTTTTTGTAGTAGCAGTTATTATTCTTTCCATGTTTAGAAATCCATTATGGATCTCTTGTAAGGCTGGTTTAGTGGTAATGACTTCCCTTAGCTATTGCTTATCTGAAAAATATTTTAGTTCTTGTTAACTTATGAAGCTTGGTTTGGTGTTGTATGAAATTCTTGGTTGGAGTCTCTTCCTTAAAAAATGCTGAATGTAAGTCCCCCATAAGATTTCTGCTGAGAAGGCCCCCAATAAGTTTATAATGTTTCCTCTGTTTGCTGTTAGCCTGATGGGATTCCCTTTGTATGGGATCTAACCTTTTTTTCTAGCTGCCTTTAAAGTTTTTTCTTTAGCATTGACCTTGGGCATTCTGGTCACTATATACCTTGGTGATGTTCATTTTATATAGGATCTGGCAGGTCTTCTCTGGATTTATTATATCTGTATGTCTACTTCCCTAGCAAGATAAAGGAAAATTTCTCAAATTATTCCCTCAAATATGTTTTCCATGTTTTTTACTTTTTCTTTTTCTCTCTCATTAATGCCAGTCATTCACAGGTTTTGCCATTTTACACAACCCATGTGTCTTGGAGACTTTGTGCCAAGAATTTTAAGAATTTTTAAATTTCTTTTTTCTTTGTTTTTGTCTGACTGGGTAAGTTTGAAAGACCAATCTTCAAACTCTGAAATTCTTTCTTCTGTTTGGTCTAGTCTATTGGGAAAGCATTCAATTGTATTTTGAAATTCCTTAAGTGAGTTTTATAGTTTTCATTGCTCTGAATGATTTCTTTTTAAGATGTTTGCATCTTCTTTTATTTCCTGGATTGCTTTACAGGTTTCTTTGTACTGATTTTTAACCTTATTTTGGATCTCATTGAGTTTCCCTGTAATCCATACTTTGAATTCCTCCTCTGTCATCCTCCTGCCTCCATTTTGGTTAAGAACCATTGCTGGAAACCTAGAGTCAGCCTTTGATGATGTCATTCCATTCAGATTTTTAATGGTGGCAGAATTCTTGTGCTGGTTCCTTCTCATCTGGAGAGTGTTGTACTAGGTAGGGTCTTTGGGGTTGTTTCTATAGTCCTATGCACTTCTGTCAGCAGGTTTTGTGTTGGGCTGTGTGGTTTGACCTATGACTCAGGATATGGCATTTGCAGGTAAGAGTCAGCTGCCACACAAGTAGGTGGGAGGGGAGCTGACCTTTATTTACTGTGAGGTGCTCTCTGTTGTTTCAGGTGAAGGACTGGACAGTGGGGTGGGTGTCCAGTGTTCTGAGCTTCCTAATTTGTGAGGGTGGTGGGATATACCTGGGCAGAGCTGGAAACGTGGCTTTCCCACGAATATCTCAATGACAGGTGCAGGCACCAGCCCTGATGGGTGTGGCTAGGAGAAGCTCCTGATAAAATGTGCTGAGGTCTTCGTGAGCCCCCTCACTTCCTTGGTGAATCTTGACATGCTCTCTTAGAGAATTCACCTGAAGAGCTACTATTTACTTGCCACTTTCTTTCCTCTCTTTGAGAGTAGCATACTCTAGCTGCTTCCAGTCAGCCATCTTGAACCTCCATAACCATTTTGAAGATGCAAATTGTGGTAGCAGCTGCAGTCAAGAGATATTAAAAATAAGTTATGGCCGGGTGCGGTGGCTCACGCCTGTAATCCCAGCATGTTGGGAGGCTGAGGCAGACAGATCACAAGGTCAGGAGATAGAGACCATCCTGGCCAACATGGTGAAACACATCTCTACTAAAAATTCAAAAATTAGCTGGGTGTGGTGGTGCGCGGTCCTGTAGTCCCAGCTACTCAGGAGGCTGAGGCAGGAGAATCACTTGAACCCGGGAGGCAGAGGCTGCAGTGAGCTGAGATTGCACCACTGCACTCTAGGCTGGTGACAGAGTGAGACTCCATCTCAACAAAAAAAAGGGATTCATTTATTCATTATCTTTTCTTTAGAATTAAGTTTAAGTTTTAAATACAGTATAAGAAATAGCTTTGGAAATAACTAAGGGTTCTACCCTAATTAAAATACATATAATTTAACTGGGTATGATGGCACATGCCAGCAGTCCTAGCTCCTCAGTATGCTGAGGTGGGAGGATGAGCCCAGGAGCCTGAGGCTGTAGTGAACCATGATCACACCTGTGAATCACCACGGCACTCCAGCCTGGGCAACATAGCAAGACTGTCTTTAAACAAACAAAACAAAATACACATCAGTATATGAGTGTTGACGAGTCACTTGGTAATGAGTCTCATATTTCTGCATTTTTCTTTTTCATCTGTGAGTTCTAGAAAGAAGTAGGAAAAACCACTATATCAAACAGCCTCTTTGGACTTTATTCTAAACCACGTAAAATCTCACCAGATTTCTTTGTGTGTCTCAGTAATTGATCTTAGAAATTATATCTGGAGGTGCAGGTTGAGGTATCCAAAGAGGAAAGAGTGGCAATATTTTGGGAGTTTCCAGTCAACAATAAAGGACCAAGAGTGTCCAGCACAGGAGTGGCCTCAGTGATTGAAGTAAGTGAATTCAGCTATAATTGAAGCTGGTAAGAGGGCCTTTTAAAAATTAAAAGTTGATACAGTACAAGAAAGTAAGTTACTGCTGCTTACCATTCAGAGACTTACGGGTGCTTGCCTGCATTATAATAAAAGAACTTAATTATTGAGCAAGACCTATATTTATCTCTTCACTTTGGACAGCCTAATAAACTATTATTACAGTTTCTCTATTGACTTTCAAACGTTTTGAAGTTTGAAAGACACCTTTGCAATTAACACAGCATGAGCACAACCAGAACAGAGAACGCTGTTATAATGGGTCTGTCCAGTCAAAATGGTCAGCTGAGGGGTCCCCTGAAACCCAGTGGTGGCCCTAGAGGAGAGGCCACACAGACACAGCAACAGACGAACCAGCTGAAAAACACCAACACAATAATAGCACTCAACCACAAGCGCAGAGTATGACCACCACTATTAAGCCTGGTGATAATTGGAAGAAGACTTTAAAACTCCTTCCAAAGGATCTAAGAATCAAAATGTTGGATGTGACCTCTACAAGAGGATATTAATTTGAAGATTACTGTTTGAAACGGCAGTTACTGATGAGAATTTTTGAAATGGGATGGAAAAAGCCATCTCCTTTCCAAGAAGAGAGCATTCCCATTGCTTTATCTGGTAGGGATATCTTAGCTAGAGCAAAAAATGGAACAGGCAAGAGCAGTGCCCATGACATTCCCCTACTTAAAAGGCTAGACCTGAAGAAGGACACTATACAAACAATAGTGATTGTTCCCACAGGAGGACCTGCTCTACAGGTCAGTCAAATTTGCATCCAGGTCAGCAAACACATGGGAGGAGTCAAAGTGGTGATGACCACAGGAGGAACCAATTCAGGAGATGACGTACTGAGGCTGGATGATACAGTGCACATGGTGATTGCTGCCCCTGGGAGAATCCTGAATCTTATTAAGAAAGGAGTAGCAAAGGTCAGTCATGTCCAGGTGATAGTATTGGATGAGGCAGATAAGTTTCTGTCCCAGGATTTTGGGCAGTTAATGGAAGATATTATTCTCATGCTACCTGAAGACAGGCAGATTTTACTACATTCTGCTACTTTCCCTCTTAGTATACAGAAGTTCATGAATTCCCATTTGCAGAAACCCTGAGACTAACCTGATGGAAAAACTAACTCTGAAGGACATAACCCAGTACTACGCATATGTAACTGAGCACCAAAAAGTACACGGCCTCACCACACTTTTCTCCAGGCTTCAGCTAAACCAGATGATCATTTTCTTTAACTGCTCTCAGCGAGTTGAATGGCCAGCCAAAATTTCTCAACTGGGTTATTTTTGTTTCTACATTCATGCTAAAATGAGGCAGGAACATCAAAATTGTGTATTTTATTATTTCTGAAATGGCTTATTCTCATTTGCACTGATCTGTTTACTTGAGGTATTGATATACAAGCTGTGAATGTGGTAATAAACTTTGACTTTTCAAAGCTAGAAGAGACCTATCTCCGTCATATTGGAAGACCAGGTCACTTTGGCCATTTTGGCTTAGCCATCAACTTGATCACATATGGCGATCACTTCAACCTGAAAGGTATTGAGGAGCAGCTGGGAAAAGAAATAAAACCTATTCCAAGCAACATTGACAAGAGCCTGCATGTGGCAGAATTCCACAGCAAGGCTGTAGAAAATGAGAAGCCTTAATAAGCACTCTTTGACAAACTGTGGAAGCCTTGTTTGGATCTATGACATACCATTTTTTAGAGAGGAGTGCTCTTCTCTTTGTGAGTTTTTCATCTTTTATTTCAGAACTATGAAGACTTAAAAGAGTTCAGAATTTTTTTTTTCCTTTTTTAACTGGTGAAGAGAAAAAAGCTGAAAAGAAGGAATATTCCTTTTTTTTTGTTCCATCTGTTTGCACTGTATGCTAAGTGAACATTAGTTGCACTAACTGCTGGTTTTAAAAAAATGTTTTCTGGGGAAAGGGGACAGGAAAGGAAAAGAAAGAAGGGGAGAAACCCTAAAAAGAGAAGAATCTTAATGAACACAAAAGCTTGTCTATTATTTCAAAATTCTCCAACATCTGACTCTCGAGGACATTTCAACTTCTCCCTAGTCATCCATTTTTTTTTTAAGCCTGAGGAGCTTATTACTCATTTGTGTGAAGTGCTGTATGCTCTGAGTTATTCAGAATATCATCTTTTAGACACAGACCAAAGAATCAACAGTAGTACTCTTTCTTTCCTTTATTCTTTAAAAAATTTTTGTCTTTTAATTTTGGTTTTAGGGTGAAGTCTCTGTTTTCTTTCTACCCAATACTGAAGCCCAGAGCTGGTAGATGAAACTTATTAGTCAGTTAAATACCATTTTCTTTTTCTTTATATTGGAGGAGTTGATATGCAGCTGCAGTTCATCCACACTGTAAACACATGTATTAAAAAAATCCCAACAGGGCATGGTGGCTCACGCCTGTAATCCCAGCACTTTGGGAGGCCGAGGCAGATAGATTATCTGAGGTCAGGATCTTGAGACCAGCCTGACCAACACAGTGAAACCCTGTCTTTACTAAGAATACAAAAAAATTAGCCAGGCGTGGTGGCAGGTGCCTGTAATCCCAGCTACTTGGGAGGCTGGGGCAAGAGAATTGCTTGAACCTGGGAGGCGGAAATTGCGGTGAACTGAGATCGTGCCATTGCACTCCAGCCTGGGCAACAGAGCAAGACTCCGTCTCAAAATAATAATAATTCCAAGTAAAAATTTATTCTGGTCTGAGTAGATAAAACATCAATGCTCCCAAAGGAAAAGCAGTCTATCATTGGAGGAGCCTTATGACAAGCCTTTGTGCTCTATAGCAAACACTAAAGACTGGTTTACATACGTCTCCAGTAACAATATGGCACTTGACTTGTAGACATGTCAGAACCTTGACCCTATTTCTTTTGTGGCAGAGTGTGTTGCGTTGAAAATTGAGTGTGTATACTTTTATCAACCTTGTAAATAAGTGTATATGTATATATACATATATATGATAAAGGTTGATGGGATTAAGGGGATTAGAGTGATTATGGGAGCAGCTAAAGATGAAGGGGCTCAGTTTACTCAGCACTAAATTCTAGAAAGCACTTTGGCCTCTTGCTGTAGAGAGCAGGTTTCTATGGTACCCTTGGTTAGGAAAGGGACACAGAAATCTGGGATGTCCTGTTTGCTCCCACGCTGTCTCATCTAGTACCCCTGGAGGAGGCTTACCAGAGAGAGCAACGAAGCGTCAAAAATTGATAATTCAAGATTTTTTTTTTTTGAGAAGCTCTTTTATTTTGCTTCTTCACCCTTTCTAAAAGTTTAAGGAATTTTTCAAGCTCTCCAAAAGAGGGCAAAGATTAATCTACCATGCATCTACCTTGCAGTGTGGGGATTCTGTTGAGTGGTAGTATTGTTGAGCAGTACATGCATAAAGCACAGATTCGCATTTCATAGTATTAGCCAGTACCAGCTTTGGTGATGTTAGGAGTTCTGGAGCTTAATTTTCTATGGATCATCTGTAGTGTGTAAATGTATTGCCTTCTGCCCACCTTGATACATAAACTTTTGCAGGAATGGACAACCCCTGAGAACTGTTTAACTTTCATACCACACAAAGCTGCTTGCCATTCTCTTGTGTTATGACAATAATTGTTATCTGTCATTTTGTACTGTAAATTCCTGGCAAATGCTTTACAGTCAATAATGTTGCTTTAAATTGTTGCCCTCCCAACATGCTTGATGTTTGGCCTAATCTCCAGGCCAAAAGACTGAGATGAATCAAAACCAGTGAACTTTTTTTTAATGTTTTTGAATTCCCTTTTAACCCAGTGTACTAGGTCAATCAGAAGGCATCTGGGAGGAGAAAAAAAAGCAAAAAATAATTTTTAAAAAATTGATTCCCATATTGCATTGATTTTTAAAAACCTAAAATATACACGTTTGTATTTAACTCATATGGACAAAGGGATTAATTATTTGAAGTTGCTTTTTTGACTCTGCCCACTTCTATTTTTTTTCCCAAGACAGAGTCTCACTGTGTCACCCAGGCTGGAATGCAATGGCATGATCTTGGCTCAGTGCAACCTCCGCCTCCCGGGTTCAAGAGATTCTCCCTGTCTCAGTCTCCCAAGTAGCTGGGATTACAGGTGCCCACCTGTAATACACCAGGTGTATGTGACTCACCCACAATTCCTTGGAGATCAAAATCCTACAGATGCCTCCTGATCAGACACAGCCCTAACTCTTCAACAACTGTGGCAAGAGCTGCACAGTACAAACCCAAAAAAGAGCAATCTCATTTATTTGGAATCCAAGTCACGTATGTTCTGTCCAGTCAATGTTGGTTACTAAATACAAACCTTAATTCAGGAAGTAACCTTTTTTTTTTTTTGCATGAAGCGCTGGGAGAGGGAATTTAAACGGTATCAACTTTTGACCAAAAAGTCTTGTTCTTGTACTGACGCAGCATTCTTTCTCCTACACCTCCTGCAAGAGGGATCATTAATATAGAAGAAATGCAAGGAAAGAGTGTAAATGTAATTCTGTATCTCGCTAAAAAACATGTGAGTGACCAATCAAAAGTTCAGTCTTCTTTTCCAGTCTTACACTGCTCTGCCTGGTGCTGAGTTCCTGTGGGTCCCTCTTAAAGTACAGACTTAAAATTGGAAGTATTGCTGAAGTATAACATCTAATGACGAGTGGCACTTAAACTATCTGGGACACCACTATTGGACACAGTGTTACAGAGGCAGCTGTCCAGCTTGTTGCTTGGTTCTTGAATATAAATCATGAAATGGAAATATGCTCTAAGGACTTGGTCAAAGCCTGGTCTTTTTTTTTGTCCCTCATATTAAGGAGGATTGTTACTACTGGAAAGTGTTTTCAGATTATTTCCAATATTGGAATGTATTTTTTAAAGTAATGGTAATATTTTTTCCAGTGGTTCATTTGGATGATAACTAGTTCCTATTTTTAATATTAAAACTATATTCAACTCATGGTTTAGCCTTTGGTTGCATCGTTGTGTAATGGGTTATGGACTGTCACACACCTTCCCACCTCTGGGCCTGTGTGTTTTCTCTCCCCGTATGTTCTGACGGGATGGAAACTTTTTTGTCTTTCCCTTAGGAAAGGAATAAAGTTATTCTAAAATGATCTTTTACTGAAGTAAGGGAGAGGGAAACCTAAATATACCTCTAAATTATTTCAAGTTGGTCCCAGTATCATAAGATGGGTTGGCCTGAAATGGTAAGAGGGTGGGGTTGGTTATCAGTATTTGTTTTCAGAATGAGGCGGGAGTGTCTTTCGTTTGCCACGTGCTTTGTGCTTGACACCTTCATGCTTGATTAGAACAAGACAACTCAGCATAAAGCCTTGAGTGTAAATTGTTAAGAGTCAAAATATCTCATTCTGATAACTTAGTTTAACTGTTTTCTTTTTAATAGGGATGGGAGAAACCGTACTTTGCCCCCAAAGGGAGAGTGTCTGCACTAAAAATGTAGAAACTCTTTGGAAGCTCATAACCTTATCAGACACTGCCTTTACCACACTCCTGACCTTCTAGATTAGTAACAAAAGAGATGAAATAAGTTCTTGGGAATTAAGCTATATTATCTTAATTTGAGAATTTTTTTCAATGTTCTAGGTATCTTTAAATGTGTTATTGTGGAATTATTTTCTTGCCAAATACCTTCGTCAAGCAAAAATTACTGGTCTCATGAGAGCTGAAGTAACTCAGCTCTTTGGCGAACTTCAGTGGACTTTGGTGAGCTCATAGCTCTACTTTACGTCTTTAAAAACAGTTTTTTTTAAAACTCTCAAATCTACTCTCAGATACTTTTAAACATATTGTTTCCTTAGAAGATTCAGGACTTTTTTTATTTTACGTCTTTCATACTGGAAGTCTGGACTATATGATAAAAATATTTCAATTTCGTACTCTTCTAACACCTGGAATTTGGAGCCCTTAAAATTTTCATATAGAAGGGAAATAGTTTAGTAAGTTATGGGGTTTTGTCATCCTTAGCATTGGTTCTCAAATTTTAGCAGACATTTGAGTTGCCTGAAGATCTTGTTAAAACATAAGGACCTAAGTCTAAGCCTCAAACTCATGAATTCTGATTCAGTAGGTCTGGAATGGCACTCATGAATTTGAATGCCTAACAAGCACCCAGGTACTGCTGCTGCTAGTCCAAGAGCCAAACTTGGAGAATCAATGCACTCTAAATCACATATTTCCAAAAAAGAAACAGGAACATTTAACCCTTTAAAAATTAATGGATCTCTAATGCCAGACCTCCTGGAAAACTAGAAGTCAGTACTTAACATTTTTTTATGCTACAAATTTGAGCCTTTGTGTCAAAATTAGATTTAGAACAGCTATTTTGGTCATAAATTATGATCTCTAACAATCAGAAATATCTACTGAAATATTCAAAAACAAATCTAGCAACAATATCTGCAAATCTCATATGATAGCTAAATCCATTAATATGTATATTAAAATTTTTGCAACAACTTTGTAAGTACTTAGAAATAAAGGTAAGTCCATAATGTTGTTTTATATTTTGGAGTTGTCTCACCATCTTGTATACACATTTTAGTATTTTTAATAATAATATAATTGTTACAAAAATTCCTCTGAAGCTATGTGGATATACATTATTTTTTTAAAGGCTACATAGCATTCTGCTCAGATAACAATTCACAATTTGCAGAAAAATTTTCTTTATTTATTTAACAAATATTTATTGATTGCCTATTGTATACCAGTCACTTTTCCAGTTTTTCATTATTATAAGCAGCATTAGTCAATGTTTTCTGTAATCATTATCACATTCAACAAACCAGGTTAAATAGCTCTATTAATATTTTTTCTTAATTATGAATAACATAACAACTAAGTGATAGCATAAGCGTATTTATAAATATTGCATTTTCTGCAGTTGGTTTTTTCCTTAAAATTAAAGAATATAAGATTATTCAGTTTAAGTTTATTTCTAAAACTGTATGCATTTAAATATTGATAAATTCCTCTCTAAAATTATTGTAAAATATTATATTGCTTCCAGTATTGTTCTCCCTCAGTCTAGCCAACATGAGGAATTTATCATTTGTTATTTTTTATACTTAATAATAGAAGGCATACTGTATCATATATAAGTACATAACAACTACAGTCAGATTGCTTGGGTTTAATTCTAGTGCTACCATTTATCCTTTGTGAGGTGACTTTAGTCGCTTAATCTTTCTGCATCTGTAAAATGAGCATATTGAATAAATAATTCTGTAAAGTGCTTAGCAGAGTGACTCAAAAATGGACACTTAATGGTGCTACATATTATGTCCATTAATGTTTTGTTTAAAATTTTATTACAAAGAAATCATAGACAAGACAAACAAATGGGAACACATCCTATGCTCATGGATGGGTAGAATCAATATTTTGAAAATGACCATACTGCCAAAAGCAATCTACAGATTCAATGCAATTCCCATCAAAATACCCCCACCATTCTTCACAGAATTAGAAAAACAATTTTAAAATTGATATGGAACCTAAAAAGAGCCTGCATATTCAAAGCAAGACTCAGCAAACAGAACAAATCTGGAGGCATCACATTATCCAACTTCAAACTATACTGTAAGGCCATAGTCACCAAAACAGCACAGTACTGGTCTAAAAATAGGCACATAGACTAATGGAACAGAATAAATAACCCAAAAATAAAACCAAATACTTAACAGCCAACTGATCTTTGACAAAGCAAAGAAAAACAGGAAGTGGGGAAAGGACACCCTGTTCAACAAATGGTGCTGGGATAATTGGCAAGCCACATATAGGAGAATGAAACTGGATCATCATCTCTCACCTTATACAAAAATCAACTGAAAATGAGTCAAATACTTAAATCTAAGACCTGAAACCATAAAAACTCATGACATCAGAAAAACCCTTCTAGATATTGGCTTAGGCAACGATTTCATGACCAAGAACCCAAAAGCAAATGCAACAAAAACAAGGATAAATAGATAGGACTAAAAAGCTTCTGCACAGCAAATGAAATAATCAGCAGAGTTAACACACAACTTACAGAGTGGGAGAAAATATTCACAATCTATACATCTGACAAAGGACTAATATCCAGAATCTACGAAGAACCCAAACAAATCAGCAAGAAGAAAACAAAGAATCCTATCAAAAATTGGGCTAAGGACAGGAATAGACAACTCTCAAAAGAAGATATACAAATGGCCGACAAGCATATGGAAAAATGCTCAACATCACTAATGATCAGGGAAATGTAAATCAAAACCACAGTGTGATACCACGTTACTCTTGCAAGAATGGCCATAATCAAAAATTCAAAAAATAATAGATGTTGGCGTGGATGTGGTGAAAAGGGAACACTTTTACACTGTTGGTGGGAATGTAAACTAGTATAACCATTATGGAAAACAATGTGGAGATTCCTTAAAGAACTAAAGGTAGAACTACCAGTTGATCCAGCAATCCCACTACTAGGTATCTATCCAGAGGAAAAGAAGTCATTATATGAAAAAGATTCCTTGCACACACATGTTTATAGCAGCACAATTTGCAACTGCAAAAATATGTAACCAGTCCAAATGCCCATCAATCAATGAGTGGATAAAGAACATATGGGAGATGTATACGTATACACCATGGAGTACTATTCAGCCATTAAAAGGAACAAAATAATGGCATTCACAGCAACTGAGATGGAATTGGAGACCATTATTCTAAGTGCAGTAACTCAGGAATGGAAAACCAAACATCACATGTTCTCATTCATAAGTGGGAGCTAAGCTATGAGGATGCAAAGGCCTAAGAATGACAGAATGGATTTTGAGGACTCAGGGGAAAGGGTGGGAGCAGGGTGAGGGATAAAATACTACATATTGGGTACAGTGTACACTGCTTGGGTGATGAGTTTACCAAAATCTCAAAAATCACCACTAAAGACCTTATTCATGTAACCAAACACCATCTGTTCCCCAAAAACCTATTGAAATAAAAAATAAATTAAAAAAATTGTTTAATAGAAGGGGATTTAATATCTTTAAGTAGCACATCAACTAATAAATGTGAAAGAGATGGTAGACTTAGAAAATCACCATTTTGCTACAATTATAATAAAAATTATAAGCAAAAATTTAAGCAAAAATTATCAGTGAATACTTAAATGAGTAGGTCAAAGTTTGGGGAATAAAGAATATTTATGTATTGTCAAAGTACCTCTCCACAAATTACTTATAAATTACTAAGGGGAAAATAGTAAATTTATAATGGAGAAACCTGGCAGAACCATCTTAGCCAACTGATTATAGCTAATATCACCAGTAATGGGACAGATCAACATGTGCCTTCCGATGTAATGTGCTGAGAAGACAATCTCATGTCTATTTTCCTATATGACATTTATGACCTAGATCTAATCAGAGGAAATATCAGACAGACCCAAACTGAGTGACATTCTACAAAATAACAGGAACTCCAAGCTGCCAACGTTATAAGAGAAAAGACTGAGGAGCTAATCCAGATTAAAAGACCCTCAAAGGACATGACCACTAAGTGAAATTTTTATTCCTGAGTTGAATTTTAGACTAGGAAATAAAATCAATATAGGATATCATTTGGATAATGGATTAAATTTGAATATTGACTCTGGATGACATAATATTATTGTATGAATGGTATTTTTTTATTATTGGTCATTTTACTAGTTATGCAAGAGAATATCTGTTCTTAGGAAATACACATTGTTCAAAAGGTTAAAAAAATGTTTATTAAAAGAGTAAATGATAAAGCAACTAGGGCAAAAATGTTAATAATTTGTGAATCTGGGTAAAGGATATATGAGTATTATTTGTTCTATTCTGATAATCTCTATGTAACCTTGAAATTATGTCAAAATAAAATGTTTAAAAATAAATAAATAAATAGATAGATAAAATTTTATTACACAAAATTGTCCAGGAAATAGGGAAGAAGAAACACTTCCAATTTGTCTTATGAGGCCAGTATCAACTTGATAACAAAATTAAACGAAGACATTATACACACACACACACAGACATACACACAGACGAAAAATAACTTTAACCATTCCAATAGATACAGCAAAACATTTGAAAAAATTTAACATTTACTAAAGATAAAATCGCTGAATTACTGAGCATACTCAGATGAAAAGGGAATGTTTGATCTGAAGAAAAGACTCTACATAAAAGCTACAGTATATATCATACTTGATGAAATACTTTAAATTTCCACTATAGGTTAAGAAATAAGATAAGAATGACTACTGTCAATATTTCTTCTCAGTAGCCCAATAGAGCCAGGAAAATGACAAAGAAGGTATAAAATTTGAAAATAGATGATGTGGTTGGGTACATAAAGATCTGGAAAGGAAATATACCTAAACTATTAGAATTAAATAGTAAACTAAATAAAATACAAAGGCCATAAAATTTTAGTAGCATCAAAAGCCTCCCAATATTTAGGAACAAATTTAATTAAATATTGGCAAAATCTCTACATTGAAAACTACAAACGATTACTAAAAAAATTTTAAATAGACAAATAAATCAAGGAATATTACATTTTTATAAAGTGGAAGTTTCAATATTGCTAAGAAGTCAATTCTTCCCAAATTTATGTTTAAATTCATTGTGATTCTCAGTAAAATGCAAGCAGGTTTTTGGCTTTATGGAAATTCACAAAATGATTCTATTAATATCTAAATGCATGCAACCAAAAGCCACAATGACATGAAGAAAAACCAAGTTGGAGAAGTCACACCACTGGATATCAAAACTTACAAAGCTATGATAACTAACTAGAACTATGGCATAGAATCAAGTATCAAGAATCACATCACATATAAACATCACCAAATTTATGACAAATATGCTAAACTGATTTTAATGATAATTTTAGCCATAAATACTTACATTAAAAAAGAAAAAAATAAATGTTAACTAGCTAAGTCTCTAATGTGAAAAATTACAAATACAAATGGAAAAATTTCAAAATAAGTGGAAGAAATGATACAGTGTTACGATAAGAGCAAGAGTTATTGAAATTAAGAACAATAGAGGGAAAGATATTAAATGTCAAATTTCTGGCAAAATCTTTTAAGAATAATAGCTGATAATGCACAAATTAATAATATTAGGGATTGAAAGGAAATGTAACTTCAGGTAACCACAAAAATAAGATAAGATAAAAGAATAAATTATGAAACGTTATGCCAATAGGTTTGAAAAAATAGTGAATATAATTTAGTAATGATGAAGAACAATTTAAAAAATATACTGGCTTCCTTGCTATTAATTATACATTCTAAGAATGCTCCTATCTCTGGACTTTGCATTGGTTTCTCTGCTTGGAATGTTTTTCCTCAGATACTCAATTAGCTAACTGTATTTAAGCTTTATTTTTACATGTGGTGCTATTAGTGAAAACTTTACAATATGAAATAGTTTGTTTCCTGCACTATGTCACTTGCCTTGCTTTCTTTAGCTCTGTAATGTGTGTTGCCATCTAACCCGGTTCATGCTTACATGTTTATTTGTTAGTGGTTTCTCTACCACTATAGATTGCACTTCATGAATATGAAAACTTTGTCTAATTCATCACTACTGGATTTTCAGTTGGAGTTCCAATAAATTCACATGAATAAATGATGAATAAAAGAATTAAAACTGTATGATGGTCTTAATAGACATAGGAAAAAGAAACATTGCATACAAGTCAGCATATATTTATGATGAAAAGTTTAGCAGACCTGAAATAAGAAGGGACTTTGTCAATTTAATAAAGGCTCCTGGGGTAGATCAGTACTTTAGTGGGCTCAAGGAACCATGCCCCCAGTACTCACGTTTGTTTCACAATGACTTACTCCACAGTTGGCCATGTGATAAGTTTGACCAATGTGACAGATCTAAGCAGAGGCTTGATAAATGGTTGTACCTGTGGCTTATATTCTTCAAACACCGGTTCTTCAGATTATCCTTGGAACCTAGCCATCATTTTGTGAGGAGCCCAACCTAGCCATGTAGAAAGGTCATATGGAGAACCATATGGAGGACCAGCCAACAGCTCTAGCTAGACTTCTAGGTAAAACCTAATACTAACTTTATTGGAACAGTGGCAAGCTGTCTTTACCAAGCTCTGCTAAAGTAAATAAGTTAAATAGTTATTGTTTGAAGTCACTGTTTTGGGATGTCTCCTTATACAAAAATAGATAAATGAAACAGTTGTCCATCTAAAACCTAGGTCAAAACATGTACTCAGTGAGAACAAGACATGACTGCCACTTGTTATCACTTTAATTCCACACTGTTTTGATTGTTTTAGCTGGTGCATTAAGATAAAGAAAATTCATAGGAACTAGAATGGAAGTTTAAAAACTTTCCTTAATTATAGGAGCTATATTTCCCTACTTAAAAAAATCCCTGGCCGGGCGCGGTGGCTCATGCCTGTAATCCCAGCACTTTGGGAGGCCGAGGCGGGTGGATTACGAGGTCAGGAGATCGAGACCATCCTGGCTAACACAGTGAAACCTCGTCTCTACTAAAAATACAAAAAAATTAGCCGGGCGTGGTGGCAGGCGCCTGTGGTCCCAGCTACTCCGGAGGCTGAGGCAGGAGAATGGCGTGAACCCGGGACGTGGAGCTTGCAGTGAGCTGAGATCGCGCCACTGCACTCCAGCCTGGGCCACAGAGCGAGACTCCGTCTCAAGAAAAAAAAAAAAATCCCTAAGAATCTGCAGATAAAACATTAGAAAAATGAGATAATTTAGCAAATCCCTTGGCCCAGGTATCAAATTGGTATATTTCTATATACCAGCAACAAAGAGTAAAATGTAGTTTGGAAAACATAATTTTGATAACTACCAAAGTAATAATGTCCAGATGTAAATCTAATAGAACATAGAAAAGCTTTACACAGAATATTATAAAACTTTACTGAAATACATTAGAGAAGATCTAAATAAACATGGATATTTACCTTGATAATGGTTGAGGAGTTATCTTTAGTAACTTTATTTTTTTGCTAACATATAGAGTCAATGAAATTTTAATTAAAAGATACTTTTAATTTATAAAAAAATTTATTGCACCAATTCTCACATTTATGCAAAGAGGGAAGAGTGCAAGATAACAAAAAAAAGTAAAAAAAACAGGAATAAAATTCAGAGATTTGTTCTAATAGCAAGATTTACAATGTATAGGAAATAAGACAGTACAGTGTTAGCACAGGAACAGACAGGTAGATGAGTGGACAAAAAGAGAGGACACCAAAGAGATCTGTGTGTGTATGTATATATATATATATACATACACACACACACACACATTGCAAGTCAGTAAATGGCACTGGGGCAATTGGTTTTCCACATTAAGAAAAGAAAGATAGATTGAAATATTTCTCACTATGAGTGTATCTAAAAATGAGTTTCAGGTGGATTAAAGATTGAAATATTAAAGTCAAAACTTTAAAACTTTTTAAAGTACCTATAAAGTGATTATCTTTATGTCCTTGGGAGTGGAAAACATTCCTTAACAAAAGAACTAAAAAAGACTTTAGCATAGAGAGAAAGACTTATTTTAATAATTCTGCAATCTAAAATTAGAGCATCTTCACATCAAAGGAAACCACAGAATGAATGAAAAATCAGGCTACAGAAGGGAAAGGGATATCTGCCACTTCTATTAAGTGGCACAGTTTAGTATTCTAAAGAGACACATAATTCCCTTAAAAATAAGAAAAAGAAAATGGCCAAAATGAAAATGAGCAAAAGTCTGCAAACAAATCCAAATGCCTAGTAAACACACAAACAAAAATGTCTAATAAGATAGAAAAAGCAAATTAAAAGTAGAGTGTGCTGTATCTGTCAGTATCCTTAGAGTAGTAACTCGTTGGATAAGTATGTAAAGCTCTGAGAGCTCATATACAAGGTTGGTAAGGGTGTAAATTGCTAAACCTACTTTGAAGAATGATTTCACATTATATCAGGAAGCTTTAGATGTCAAAGGCAAAAACATAATTTTTCAGAAATGTATAGTGGATACCTTTTAGAAACAGGGAAGTAGGAAAAGGAGCCTAGAGCTGCGCATAAAGGGAAATAAAATACGCTCATAAAGAATTATGCCTTTAAAAGTTATTGGACTCAAATCTTATGAACTATTAATGGTTATTGCTTTAACCATTATTATGAAGTATGAATTTCAGTTGCATTGTTTTTTGTAATCTTCCTTCTGAGGGTAAAAATCAAACAGAAAGAGTTATAAACGTAGGGATTCTGTTTATAATGCTATGACTTTTGGTCTCAAGTTGTGTCATGTGTCTTTAGGGAAAGGCTGGCATTCCTTCCCTTTCCTTTCTTATTCTTTCATTTTCTTTTCTTTCATTTATTTATTTCTTTCCTTTTCTTTCCATCCCATTCCTTTCCTTTTATTTTCCTATCTCTCTCTGTAAACATGTAAGAATGCATGCATATTCACTGCACTACTCTGGTAGTGTCTTACTGATATATCCCTGTCCATTTATAAATCAAAATAGAAAGCTGCTATAATTTAACAACATGGACAGCATTGAAAGGTATGGATAATAGGACAATTTTAACTCATGTGTTGATGTGATAATATATCTCATAGAACGTCAACTCAAGAAAGATATAAGACATGGCATAATGTGTTATGTGCATATTTGTGTCCCTGTTAGTATTGAAAAGTTATCATATTAAAAATGAACAAAGGGAAAAAGTGCATGAGGTGCCGGGAGTCTAGGAGAAACCAGGAATAAGCTTCCAGGTGTTTTCTTCCAGTGAGTTACATTGATGTGCTTAATTGTGCCATCAATGGTACGATAACACATGCAGAATAATGCCAACCAGGAAGTTCACTCAAGTTTGATGTAGAAGGTTTTTATGGGGGATCAGTCAGGTAGGCATACGGCACCTGTGTAACTGACCTCAGCTACTCAGACCCCAGCCCACCAGAGCAAAAATAGGCACCATAAATCACCTTGTTAGCATAATCTATCTGATCAAATTTATATTGTGACCCAATAAAACAAATTATTTTAAAAAAAACATTTTATTAGGCAGGATATTCAAAGAACTTAGAGCTCCTCTTCCAGGAGCCTGCCAAGGGCCAGTCCTGAATATAGGCCTTTCTTGGGAATATACAGGGTTCTGCAACACAGACATGAAAAGTTAACCCTTTTCTGCATAATGGTTGACTGATATATTTTGATATATCAGATGCGTTAGGTCTTTTGCAACTGAAAAAAAGAGAAGCAAAACTATATTCATAAAATAATATCGAATTTTTCCTTAAAATACCATAGTGGTAAAGAATGAAAACTTGGGGGCCAAACTGCCTTGAGTTTGAGTCCCAGGTTAGCTAGTAGTTTGCTAGTGACTGTAGATAAGTTGATTAGTGACCTGTGCCTTAATTTCCTTATCTTTAAAGTAGGAATATCAATATTATTTGCCTCACAAGATTTATTGTAAATGTTGAACACAATAATACCTTTGAAGCCTAGAATAATCCTTGGCATAAGTAGTACTTATTACATGTCATTATTATTATTATAGTTTTATTATACGCTAGCACAGGCATAAGAAAGCAGATCGAGAGATATGAGCAAAAAGTGTTCCAAAAAGTTAAAAGCGAAAAAACAAAAATAAAAAAACACCTCAAGCTATTTAGGCTATTTTATAAAGAGAGAAGTGTTATGATTTTGTTAAGATAGTAACATTAGGGAAACAAGGTGAGGGATAAAAAGAGAAGCCTCTGTATTGTTTTTACAAATTTTTTACAGGTTTAAAATTTCTCCAAAGTTTAAAAGTGAGGTAACATTGTATTCTATTTGAGTAGTAAGTATTAGAAAGCAGGGTAGTGCCAAGAATTGGGACAGGTGAGGAAATGACAGGAACACGTCTGCCCCGCTGGTAGGAGTGTAGCCTCATGGAAGCATTCTGGAGCACATTCTGGGTATAAAAATTCAAATTAAGTCTCTCATATATTGGACCTGAGCAATTTTGCTTCCAGGTATATATCCTAAATAAATCCTTACACAGGTCCATAACAACAGTTGTTTGGCATAATTTATGGTAATGGGGAATTAGAAGCAACCCAGATGTCCATCAACGGGAGAGCAGATTTGCGAAGGTTGAGGATGTACAACATCAAAAAAATGCAGTTTTTAGAAAAAGTGGGCTAGATGTAGACATTGTAACGTGATAGCTCTTAAAAGTAGTGTGCTGAGTGAAAAAAAGTAAGAAACTGAATAAGATTATAATGTAATACTATTTTATAGAATAAAATATCCTAAAACAACAATACTAATAGAAATTAAGAGCCCATAAAATGTTACACATGAAACTTATAATAATTGTTTTCCTTAGGGGGAATGGTAGTAGAAACAGACAGGAAAGAAATGTTTTAAATAAAGTAAGATGAGAGAGATCGTGCACATATTAATGAGGACAGGGTGCCATGAACTGATAAATGTAATGAACTCAACCTTCTGCACTTGAGATCCAACCACATAATAAAAGGAAAAAAGAAATAATATATGCAATTTTGTCTATATATATATATCAAAATTAAAATAGTGATAACCTCTAGGAATCACTATTAAAGAGGAAATTCTTATTTTAATGTTATTTCTACAACATTTGAAACAATTTAAGGAGCATGAAGTGTAATTTTTGTATTCAAAACTTAAAATGTGAATAATTAGTAATAAATTTAATAAAGGAACAAGACTGCCTCACTGAAAGCCATGTAACGTTACTGAAAGAAATTAAAGACCTAAAAAATGGGAAGCTATGTTGTGTTTATGAATTAAATGACTCAATATTAAGACTTCTATTTTCTCAGAAATGATCTATAGATTTGATGCAATCCTAATAAAAATGCCAGCATGCTTCTTTTTAGTACGAATTAACAAGCTAATTCTAAAGTGTATATGGAAATGCAGAAGACTTGGAAAATCAAAGCCTAGAAAATCAAAAGATTAGAGGCATTAAACTACCTGACTTCAAGAATTGTTATAAAGGGCACGGCGTGGTGGCTCATGCCTGTAATCCCAGCACTTTGGGAGGCCGAGGTGGGCGGATCACGAGGTCAGGAGATCGAGACCATCCTGGCTACCACGGTGAAACCCCGTCTCTACTAAAAATACAAAAAAATTAGCCAGGCATGGTGGTGGGCGCCTATAGTCCCAGCTACTTAGGAGGCTGAGGCAGGAGAATGGCGTGAACCCAGGAGGCGGAGCTTGCAGTGAGCCGAGATGGTGCCACTGCACTCCAGCCTGGGCGACAGAGCAAGACTCCGTCTCAAAAAAAAATCGTTATAAAGTTGCTGAAATCAGTATGGTATGGTATTAGTTAAAAATAAACACATAGATCAATGAAAAAGAATAGTAAGCCCATATATTGACAAGGTGCTAAGGCAAATCAATGGGGGAAAATAATGTCTTTTCAATAAATCACACTAAAAACTATATATCTGTATAGAAAAAGAATGATCATTAACACTCACTTTATACTACACTCAAAAATTAACTCAATAAGGATCACAGACTTAATTAATATAGAAGCTAAAACTATTCATTTTCTAAATGGTCACATAGAAAAATACCTTTATAATTTTAGGCCGGGCGCGGTGGCTCATGCCTGTAATCCCAGCATATTAGGAGGCCAAGGCAGGTGGATCATTTGAGGTGAGGAGTTCAAAACCAGCCTGGCCAACATACTGAAATCCCATCTCTATTAAAAATACAAACAAACAAACAAAAAAGACAGAAAGAAAGAAAATGAGCCAGCATAGCAGCACACACTTGTAATCTCAGCTACTTGAGAGTCTGAGGCACGAGAATTGCTTGAACCAGGAGGCGGAGGTTGCAGTGAGCCAAGATTGCACCACTGCACTCCAGCCTGGGTGACAGAGTGAGACCCTGTCTCAAAAGAAAAAAAACTTTGTAATTTTAAAGAAGGTATTTTTGGAAGATAGGACACCAAACATGAATTATAAAACACAAAGTTGATAGATTGAACTACATCAAAATTTTTAAAGTTTTACTCTCCAAAAGAACCTGATGGAAAAAAAAGACAATCACAGGAGATTAGAAAAAACATCTGTAATACGTGTATCTGACAAAAGATTTTTATCCAGTATATATACATATATACACACATATGTAAATGTCTTCATAATAGAAAGATTAACAACTTGTTTTAAAAATGGGCCAAGTGTCTGAGCAAAAACTTCACAAATGAAGACACACAAATAACTAATAAGTCCAGGAAAAGATGTTCAACCTTGTTGAACAGGGCAATACAAAATAAACTCATCGATATATATCACCATGAATGTGTTTAAAAAGCTAAAAGTTTTTCAAAACACCTGACAAGGTAGCCAAGATGGTCTTGATCTCCTGACCTCGTCATCCGTCCACCTCGGCCTCCCAAAGTGCTGGGATTACAGGCGTGAGCTACCACGCCCAGCCCTTTATAACAATTCTTGATTATCTAGGGAATATAATATGGAACAACTACTTTAGAAATCAGTGTGGGTGGCTGGAAAGATGGTGGAATAGAAACAGCTTCGGTCTGCAGCTCCCACTGAGATCAATGCAGAAGCCAGATGATTTCTGCATTTCTAACTGAGATACCCGACTAATCTCACAGGGACTGGTTAGACAGTGGGTGCAGCCCAGGGAGGGCTAGCCGAAGCAGGGTGGGGCATCGCCTCACCCGGGAAGCGCAAGGGGTCAGACAACTCCCTCCCCTAGCCAAGGGAAGCCATGAGGGACTGAGCCATGAGGAACAGTGCACTCCAGCCCAGATACTACGCTTTTCCCATGGATTTCGCAAACCACAGAACAGTAGATTCCCTTGGGTGCCTACGCTACTGGGGTCCTGGGTTTCAAGCACAAAACTGGGCGGCTGTTTGCGCAGAGACTGAGCTAGCTGCAGGAGTACAGCTAAGGCAGTGTTTAAAGGGAAATTTATAGCACTAAATGCCCACAGGAGAAAGCAGGAAAGATCTAAAATCGACACTCTAATATCGCAATTAAAACAACTAGAGAAGCAAGAGAAAACAAATTCAAAAGCTAGCAGAAGACAAGAAATAACTAAGATCAGAGCAGAAATGAAGGAGATAGAGACACACACAAAAAAATTCAAAAAATCAATGAATCCAGGAGCTGGTTTTTTTGAAATAATTAACAAAGTAGACTGCTAGCCAGACTAATAAAGAAGACAAGAGAGAAAAATCAATAGACACTATAAAAATGATAAATGGCATATCACTGCTGATCCCACAGAAATAGAAACTACCATCAGGGAATACTATAAACATCTCTATGCAAATAAACTAGAAAATCTAGAAAAAATGGATAAATGCCTGGACACATAAACCCTTCCAAGACTAAACCAGGAAGAAGTCTAATGCCTGAATAGACCAATAACAAGTTCTGAAATGGAGGTAGTAGTTAATAGCCTACCAACCAAGAAAAGCCCAGAACCAGACAGATTCACAGACGAATTCTACCGCAAGTACAAAAAGGAGCTGGTACCATTCCTTCTGAAAATATTCCAAACAATAGAAAAAGAGGGAATCCTCCATAACTCATTTTATGAGGCCAGCATCAACCTGATACCAAAACCTGGCAGAGACACAACAAAAAAAGAAAATTTCAGGCCAATATCCCTGATGAACATTGATGTGAAAATCCTCAATAAAATACTGGCAAACCGAATCCAGCAGCACATCAAAAAGCTCATCTACCATGATCAAGTCAGCTTCATTCCTGGGATGCAAAGCTGATTCAAATATGCAAATCAATAAATGGAATCTATCACATAAACAGAACCAATGACAAAAACCACATGATTATCTCAATAGATGCAGAAAAGGCCTTCGACAAAATTCAGCAGCCCTTCATGCTAAAAACTCTCAATAAACTAGATATTGATGGAATGTATCTCAAAATAATAAAAGCTATCTATGACAAACTCACAGCCAATATCATACTGAATGGGCAAAACCTGGAAGCATTCCCTGAGAAAACTGTCACAAGACAAGGATGCCCTCTCTCACCACTCTTATTCAACATAATGTTGGAAGTTCTGGCCAGGGCAATCAGGCAAGAGAAAAAAATAAAAGGTATTCAAATAGAAAGAGAGGAATTCAAATTGTCTCTGTTTGCAGATGACATGATTCTATACTTAGAAAACCCCATCGTCTCAGCCCAAAATCTCCTTAAGCTTATAAGCAATTTCAGCAAAGTCTCAGGATACAAAATCAATGTGCAAAAACCACAAGCATTCCTATACACCAATAATAAAAAAAACAGAGAGCCAAATCATGAGTGAACTCCCATTCATAACTGCTACAAAGAGAATAAAATACCCAGGAATACAACTTACAAGGCATGTGAAGGACCTCTTCAAGGAGAACTACAAACCACTGCTCAAGGAGAGAGGGCACAAACAAATGGAAAAACATTCCATCCTCATGGGTAGGAAGAATCAATATCATGAAAAATGGCCATACTGCCCAAAGTAATTTATAGATTCAATGCTATCCCCATCAAGTTACCATTGACTTTCTTCACAGAATAGGAAAAAACTACTTTAAATTTCATATGGAACCAAACAAGAGCCCACATAGCCAAGATAATCCTAAGCAAAAAGAACAAAGCTGGAAGCATCATGCTACCTGACTTCAAAGTATACTACAAAGCTACAGTAACCAAAACAGCATGTTACTGGTGCCAAAACAGATATATAGACCAACAGAACAGAACAGAGGCCTCAGAAATAATGCCACACATCTACAACCATCTGATCTTTGACAAACTTGACAAAAACAAGCAATGGGGAAAGAATCCCCTATTTAATAAATGCTGTTGAGAAAACTGGCTAGCCATATGCAGAAAACTGAAACTGGACTCCTTCCTTATACCTTATACAAAAATTAACTCAAGATGGATTAAAGACTTAAACGTAAGACCTAAAACCATAAAAACCCAAGAAGAAAACCTAGGCAATACCATTCAGGATTTAGGCATGGGCAGAGACTTCATGACTAAAACATCAAAAGCAATGACAACAAAAGCCAAAATTGACAAATGGGATCAAATTAAACTAAAGAGCTTCTGCACAGGAAAAGAAATCATCAGCAGAGTGAATAGGCAACCTACAGAATGGGAGAAAATTTTTGTAATCTATCCATCTGACAAAGGGCTAATATCCAGAATCTACAAAGAATTTAAACAAATTTACAAGAAAAAAACAAACAACCCCATCAAAATGTGGGCGAAGGATGTGAACAGACACTTTTGGGATTCTCCAGGTTCAAGCGATTCTCCTGCCTCAGCCTCCTGAGTAGCCGGGATTACAGGTTCATGGCACCACGCCCAGCTAAGTGTTTGTATTTTTAGTTGAGATGGAGTTTCACCATGTTAGCCAGGATGGTCTCAATCTCCTGACCTCGTGATCTGCCTGCTGCGGCCCCCTAAAATGCTGGGATTACAGGCATGAGCCAATGCCCCGGCCTGACAGACACTTTTTAAAATAAGACATTTATGTGGCCAACAAACATATGAAAAAAAGCTCATCATCACTGGTTATCAGAGAAATGTGAATCAAAACCATAATGAGATACCATCTCATGCCAGTTAGAATGGCTATCATTAAAAAGGCAGGAAACAACAGATGCTAGAGAGGACGTGGAGAAACAGGAACACTTTTACACTGTTGGTGGGACTGTAAACTAGTTCAACCATTGTGGAAACAGTGTGGCGATTCCTCAAGGATCTAGAACCAAAAATACCATTTGACCCAGGAATCCCTTTACAGGGTATATACCCAAAGGATTATAAATCATTCTACTATAAAGACACATGCACACGTATGTTTATTGTGGCACTGTTCACAATAGCAAAGACTTGAAACCAACCCAAATGCCCATCAATAATACACTGGATAAAGAAAAGGTGGCACATATACACCCATGGAATACTATGGAATACTATGCAGCCATAAAAAAGATGATTTCATGTCCTTTGCAGGGACATGGATGAAGCTGGAAACCATCATTCTCAGCAAACTAACACAAGAACATAAAACTAAACATTGCATGTTCTCACTCATAAGTAGGAGCTGAACAATGAGAACACATGGACACAGGTAGGGGAACATCACACACTGGGGCCTGTTTGGGGGTGAGGGGGTAAGGGAGGGATAGCATTAGGAGAAATACCTAACGTAGTTGACAGGTTGATGGGTGCAGCAAACCACCATGGCATGTATATACCTACGTAACAAACCTGCAAGTTCTGCACATGTACCCCAGAGCTTAAAGTATATAAAAAAAAGAAAAAATCTCATGTGGCAGATTAAAGAAAAAAAAACTTACTAAGGTATATGCATATGTAGATATTATAACCATTAATTCAAAAAAGTCCTATAAAAACATTCCCCATTACTGAGCAATTGCTTATTCCCTTTGTCATTAAAACATGCACTTTGATTTACTTCAAAACTGAGGGGACTAGTCCAGTTTTGTACTCTTGTAAATTATGAGTCTTTCTTGAAGAAATCTGCAGCATTACACAAAATTGAATCAGATATTCAGATTCACAAGATTTGTGCCTCCTTATCTCACACATTCATAAGTTGGAACTCTTCATTTGCAGTTTATCTATATTCTGTTTCATGGAACTAGGGAGCATCCCCTGCCTAACTCTGTAAAACCAATTTGTCAAACTCTTGTACAGATCAGAAAAGTAAAGGAATTAATATAAATACCTCCAGTAATAGGGATGCACAAGGGTGATGACAATTTTATTAATAGATTATAGTAGTATATGCTTATATTTATAGATTATACACATCACACACACACATAAACATACACACTCACATTTGGGTAATAATGCATTTGCCATCAGTAAGGAACATAAATGACCTTATTGTTTGAGTCAGACAAATATTAATTTGAATCAGAGCTTAACTACCATTTATTTGAGAAATCTCAGGAAAATTAACTAATCCTTCCTAAATTTATTGTTCCTATTGGCAAAATGGGGACAATATGTTATAGCTAGAAGAGTTGTTTTCTTGAGTCAAAAAAATGTATATATATAAAGCACTTGATACTTACTAGGGGCTGAATAAATTGTTGAAATCACCACTGTAATAATAGTAAAAGAACTTAATATGAATACTTAATATGGATAGAAAACTAGGAGGCCCACTGGAAATACCATATATGCACCATAATATTAACCCAGTTAGCTTCATCTATCTCCAACCTTATTTGTTAATAACAAGTTTTAAATTATACAGGCCAGACTCCAAACTAATTGTCTTTCTCCTTCATTTCAGAAAAATTTTCCAAAGATGACTTAAAATAACACTTGAATTGGAGGGAGGAAGGAAAGCTAATATTATTAGAGCACAACATCTTAAATTTTAAAGAATTATATTTGAGAGGAATATATACAATAGACAGCTTGGAAGAGCATTCTGGGTAGAAATAAGATTCACCTCTCTTCCAATCTGAAACATAATAACAATGCCTTTCATTTGTATGGTTCTTCAGAGTTTAAACATGGCTTTTAAGCACATTTTTCTCTGAGGAAGCTCTTCCTTTGACAGCATCTTCCTCAGTGCTGCCTTCATGGAATCATTCCGTAAGCTATAAATGACTGGATTGAGTGTTGGAGGTATCACAGTATAGAATACGGAGAATACAAGGTCCACAGTCGATGAGGAATCAGAAGGCAGTCTGAGAAACTCAAAGCCTGCAGCTGAAAGAAAGAAGGTGGCTACAAATAGGTGTGGTAGGCAGGTGGAGAAGACCTTGGTCCGGCCCTCAGCTGATGGGATTCTCAGCACTGTAGAGAAGATGCGAATGTAGGAGAGCACAATGGAGATCAAACAGATAAATGCTGCAGACGTTGTGAATGCAGCCAGTGCAATCTCATTAATGAATTCATAAGAACAGGCTAGTTTCAGCATCTGAGGAACATCACAGAAGAATTGGTGAATGACTCTCTTCCCACAGAGAGGTATGGAGAAGTTAATGGCAGCATGCATGAGCCCAGAGAGGCCCCCAGCAATCCACACAGCTATCACTGCATGCCTACAGGCACGGGGATCCATAATAGTCTCATAATGAAGTGGTTGACAGATTGCTGCGTACCTGTCATAAGACATCACTGTGAGAATGGCCACTTCTGATGAGGCCAGAGCTATGAAGAAGAAAACCTGAAGAATGCACTGAACAAGAGAAATGTAACCGTTGCCCATAAGTGAATTTGCAATGGACTGGGGGACTGTGACAGAGATGAAGCAGAGGTCCAGAAGAGAGAGGTGCTTTAAAAAGTAATACATGGGGGAATGGAGACGACGGTCCACGGTAATGATGGTGATAATGAGGAGGTTGCCTGTCAAGGCCAGCAGGTATGTCACCAGAAATACCAATGCATGTAAAATCTGAAGCTTACGCTCATCAGAAAACCCCATAAGAAGGAATCCACTCGTTGAAGTCAAATTGACCATAGTCTCTCTGAAGATACCAAGTGTGACTCTGTTTAGGAAGCCAAAGACAGTAGGAAGAAAATGCATGACATCTAATATATTTGTGTGTCAAGTAACTCAATTCCTCAGCATGGAGGTATTGAAATGAGATGAATTTATTTTCATTGCGATTAGTTAATATTCAATTCAAAAACGTTTTAGCAATTATTCAGAAATAGAATCCCTGAATGTGATCAACAAGTCATAAACATTTTCTGGAGCAGAGTTTGCATTGTCAAAGAGGGAGAAATTGATGGAAATGATAAAGTCTTTACCTTCAATAAAGTCAATGAAAATGATTCTAGCATACCAATCTCATTACATCTTCTATATGATGCCTTAGTATTACAACGATGCACTATATAGCTTCTTTTGCTAACCAGCTAACATGAAGTTATTGATACCACCTTGCAAATGGATCTAGAAACAGCTCAGAGGCAGATCTAGAAACAGCTCAGAAGCTAATCTAGAAGAGAGGTTAGCTCAAAGAACAGTCATATTTTTTCCTTTGAAAAGCTCTTAACACTTTAAAAAGATTACATTTGATTGTAATAAACTTTTCATAGAAATTTTGAAAAATGAAATGTCTCAAAATTGTAAAATGCAGATGCCACTGATATCAGGCATTGAATCCTGAGCTTTGGAGATCTTGCAACTAAGTGACAAAGGTTCACCGTCAAAGAACGTTTAATTCTCAAAATTCTTATGACAACTTGGGGTTGGACATTTTCAATCAAATCCATTTGAAGAAATAAAGAGATTTTCTAAAATCTATGTGATAGGCAGAATGCTAGGTAGTAGAGTATATATCTTTCTAGTGCTGTGTCTCATTGTGAGTTCCTGAATGAAAAAATATATATATATATTTCTTTCTAGGACTTGAAATATATTAGATAGTGGGAGCCCATTTCTTAAAATAACCAACCAAACAAAAAAAAAATCTATACCAGATGTAACAATTGTTAGGAGGATTAAATGATGTAACTTTTCCTATTTCATTTTAAATGTGCTATTATTATAGAATCAACACCATCATAGAATTATTTTGTGTATCAGAATCACTCTGCTAACTAATTTTTGCCTCTTTTTTTTCTTTTTAAATCTGTGCATTTGTTGAAAGGTCAATCAGTATCATTTTCACTGAGTTTCTTCTGCACAAAGACTATTCCTTCATCATTTCTGTCCATTTCTTCACCCTTGACCAAAGGCATCTAACATATAGGTTCTAAGTAAATACTTATTTAACGGGATATCTACATAATTGATTTCAGTTCTATATAGACAAAAACTTAATGGCTAAGTTACATGAGTTAATGCATCTGATTTTGAAGTAACTGCATCTGATATTGTAGTTTGTTTCATTTATTAATCCCTAAGCTGTAGGAAAAGGTTAAAAATCACTTAAACCAAGATCTTTTTGATTTTGCTGTAATTTATTTTGAGAACTGACTGAAACTAATTTTTAGGAAATTTTTTTTTTCCACAAGGAACAGTCTCAGGGCTGGAAGGGCCCTTAATCCCTCACTGATGGTCACATCCCCTGCTTCATGGCAGTAGGAATCAGAGGAAAACAGGGGTTACTTTCTTCAAAGTTTCTCTAGCTTTCTTGCTCCTACAGTTTTCCTGGTCCTCCATAAGATATAGCTTAATCCCCAGTGCTGCCAATCTTAATGCCTGGCTTAACTTGCTCCAAATATTGGATGGTAGTTTTGGAATTTAAAATAAAATGTGAATAGATGAAAGCAATTCACTTATATTTTAAAACTTACTGTCTCTGGCTTGAAAATCAAAAGCATCGTGTTACTTACCACTTCTAATACACATTGTTAATGTAATCTAAGAAAAACCTCTATCATTTAGCCTCCCCATTAAGGTTTCTCCATAGAGGGAAGGAGGAGAAAAATCGTAAGAAAAAACTTGAATGCACACACCATATTCTCCTCTCAACAACTCCCACCAACCTATTTTCATTTTTATTTTCTTTGAAGACATAGATAATAATTTTTATATCTGATTAATAAATGGAAAATTTCATCATTTTAATTTCACTAGTTCCAAATTGTATTGATTAATTCATCACTTATCAAATAAGAAGGAAGGGAATCATATACGTGTGGAGATACTCTTAGGATTAAGGATGATACTGCGAGAACATATAAAACCTGTGTTCAATCCTTCCAAGTCATACCTGCATTAAATACTTTATTTATAATAAAACTAAACATTTTTTGGTGGAGAGTATAATGATTCTTTCAATGTCATTTGTTTCCCCCAAGCATTTTTTTCTGTCTTCACTAACCACTTGTATGCAAATTTTATCCTACAAAACATTTCTAAACTTTTCCGTTTTTTACCTCTCATATGTTGAAACCCTCAATTTTTTTGAAAGTAGTTCTCTTTTAGGTTCAGTGGTACATGTGCAAATATGTTATGTAGGTAAACTCTAATTCATTCCAGTAGCTGCTCTAAAGAGTTAGCATCCTGTGTCTCTTCTTCACTATTTTCCTCTATTTCCTGGGAGGTAGCATTGCCAATAACTTCAATGAGAAAACATAGGTAATTATATGTTAAGCCCCTCAGTTTCCTACCTGTATATAAACGAAATGATCTCTAACATGATTTAATTCCACCCACTCTAGGGTTTCAAAGGCAGAGAAAGAGCTCTTTTTTCCTTTCCAAGTCAGTGACCAACCCTATACTCAACCTTGCTCTATCGCAAAGGGCATCTTTGCCACAGTATGCACTTGCTCTCTCTCTCTCTTTCATAATAGTGCACATTTTATGTGTGTGTGTGTGTCTGTATATGTGTGTGTATAAAATCAACACAAACTCCATGTCTAAAAATTCTAATAATGTTGATTTACTGAGATTACTCTTAATGAACCAGATTGTTTCACTATGCTCTGTTGATAGATGATAGATTAGAGATAGATAGATGATAGATAGATAGATAGATAGATAGATAGATAGATAGATAGATAGAGATAATCTTAAGACTCATCCATTTTAAAGAAAAAGAAAAGTCTTCACTCCACACTTAGGACTTACTTATAATGTCCCTTCTCTTTACAGCCATGCTTTATGAGCAGAATAGGGTATCATTCTGTGCCCTGGCACATTTGGTTCAATTCTTGAACCATGTTAATCATTCTTGCTTCATGAGTCCTCACAAACAGCTCCAGCAAATCCACAAATAACTATCACAACGGTAAATTCAATGCACTCTTTCTATTTTGTTTTTATTTTAAATTTTGTTTCTCAAATATATGACACTATTATACAGTTCTTTCTTCTAAAACAGCTGACTTCCATTGGCTCTATGCCACTTAGTTCTGGTTTTCTATTTCCTCTCTGAATATTTTTTCTTAGTCTCGTTATCTGGGTCTTCTTTTAACATTTATTGAAATTTGATGGTTTCCAAAAATTTGTCCTGACACTTTCTTTCTGTACTTTTGTTTACTCAAAAATATTCCTGTGCCTTTTAAAGAAGACAGATTAACTATTTTCCTACACAATAGAAAATAATAGTCTGCTGTTTCGAGCACTACCATAGGTCTTCTGGGTTGCAGGTCCCCTGGGTTGCAGGTCCTCATATCCTGCTTCACGGTTGGCACATCACTGTCCCTGAATGGGTCTTTCCCATAAGGACTCATCTCTTCTCCCAGACATCTCCCTGTCACTGTGACCTATTTCAAAGAATGGCACAACTTTGCTTTAATCTGTATATCCAATCAAACACCAAAATTTTATTTGCTTACTATCTGTTGTAGTTATTACATCTTGCTGTCACACGTACAGATTAGTTCAAACCTTCATTATCTCTGGCAATATTTTATTCTTCAGTTTTATGTATTTCTAATCCAACTTCAATGCTGTTGCCAGGACAAATGGTGATGCAGATCACATCTTGTAACATTAATTTAGCTTTTAGCTCTTTATTGACTTGATTATGCAATGATGCCCAAAAAGCTTAGGATGGCAAACAATATCTTTACAATGCTTCCTGACTGCCATTCCAGTATTATCTATCATTGTGACTTCTCTAACCCCATGCCAATCTCCATGTCTAATAATGGCGACTGACTTAATTACTCTTAATAAATCAATCAGGTTGTATCACCATGCTGTGTTTCTTTTCTTAAATCACACTATCCCTCCTGTCTGGAAGTCCTCCCATTAGAATTGCCCCTCATGGCTGAGCACGGTTGCTCACACCTGTAATCCCAGCACTTTGGGAGGCTGAGGTGGGCAGATCACCTGAGGTCAGGAGTTCAAAACCAGCCTGGCCAAAATGGCGAAACCCCATCTCTACTAAAAATACAAAAATTAGCCGGGCACGGTGGTGGGCACCTGTAATCCCAGCTACTAGGGAGGCTGAGGCAGGAGAATTGTTTGAACCCAGGAGGCGGAGGTTACAGTGAGCCAAGGTCGCGCCACTGCACTCCAGCCTGGGTGACAGAGCGAGACTCGTCTCAAAAAAAAAAAAAAAAAAGAAAAAAAAAAGAAAAAAAAAGAAAAAAAATCTCCCCTCATTTGTTTGGCAAATACTTAACTATCTTTTAACACAGCTACATTGTCTCTTTCCATTTATAATTCACCTGAGTTTAACTGTCGACCCAAGAAGAATTGTCACTCTTTGGAGCCCAGATTGCATTCATTTAAGATTCCTTATAATTTATACTAACTTTTTTATGCTTTATATACTTTTTTATAATTTATACTACCTTATTTGCATAGATATCGCAGCTTATTTAAACTGTTCTTAGTTAAGGAGTGAGAAATTATGTATCTTATTTAGAGTTATAACTTTGAAGACTCGCATAGTCGCTGGCACTAAGCAGGTGCTACATAAATGTTGGATAAATTCCATAAAATTTGAAGAAGTTTTACTCACCAGAGTGGATCTCTCGGTAGAAACAAATCTCAATTGATCCTGAGACTGAGCATCTTTGTTCTAGAATCAAGCTGGTGTTTCAGTCAGTGAAATTTCCATGTAAGGAAAGGACTGAAACGCTTTTATATAGGACCAAACAGGATGTAACTGCCCAGGGACATTTAAATTTCCTATTAACTAAGGGGTATTTGAAATGAAGCCAGTGCTGTCCAGGCACTGGGGACAAAAATCCTGTGCAGGAAAGTTGGTGTTTCAGATAAAAACTATGAGTTCAAAGCAGGGGATTTCATGGACCTCTCCCTCAGGGAATTGCCTCAGTGGGAAGTAGTTAATTATTATCTTGGTTTAGCTAACTCTTGTAGTCGATGCATTTCAGGTTAAAAAAATGAATATTATACATAACTCGTTTTCTGTAACACAGGTTCACAGGTTTTTCTAGTAAAAAGGATTTTTTTCATTAATTAACAGTTTCATTTTAACTGGTCACCAATAAAATCATGCATGATTGCACTGGCCTTATGTAAAAAAAAAAAGGAATACTTAGTAATTATTTACATAAACCCAGACATAATAGTAGAATCAAAGAATCTCAGAATAAAACCATGACTTAGAGAGCTAAACTTTCTTCAAACATGTTGTCTTTTCTAAAATTACTCTGAAACTGATAATCCAGCCCTCATTTTAACAATCCCCCAGATGAATAATTTTTACTCAAAAGTGAATGAATTCCATTCTTAAATATGTGTGATTATGGAAAAGGCATTTTTTAAAATTATACTTTAAATTTTAGGATACATGTGCACAACGTGCAGGTTTGTTACATATGTATACATGTGCCATGTTGGTGTGCTGCACCCATTAACTAGTCATTTAGCATTAGGTATATCTCCTAATGCTATCCCTCCCCACTCCCCCCACCCCACAACAGGCCCCAGAGTGTGATGTTCCCCTTCCTGTGTCCATGTGATCTCATTGTTCAATTCCCACCTATGAGTGAGAACATGCGATGTTTGGGTTTTTGTCCTTTGTGATAGTTTGCTGAGAATGATGGTTTCCAGCTTCATCCATATCCCTACAAAGGACATGAACTCATCATTTTTTTATGGCTGCATAGTATTCCATGGTGTATATGTGCCACATTTTCTTAATCCAGTCTATCATTGTTGGACATTTGGGTTGGTTCCAAGTCTTTGCTATTGTGAATAGCGCCACAATAAACATATGTGTGCATGTGTCTTTCTAGCAGCATGATTTATAATCCTTTGGGTATATACCCAGTAATGGGATGGCTGGGTCAAATGGTATTTCTAGTTCTAGATCCCTGAGGAGTTGCCACACTGACTTCCACAATGGTTGAACTAGTTTACAGTCCCACCAACAGTGTAAAAGTGTTCCTGTTTCTCCGTATCCTCTCCAGCACCTGTTATTTCCTGACTTTTTAATGATTGCCATTCTAACTGGTGTGAGATGGTATCTCATTGTGGTTTTGATTTGCATTTCTCTGATGGCCAGTGATGATGAGCATTTTTTCATGTGTTTTTTGGCTCCATAAATGTCTTCTTTTGAGAAGTGTCTGTTCATATCCTTTGCCCACTTTTTGATGGGGTTGTTTTTTTCTTGTAAATTTGTTTGAGTTCATTGTAGATTCTGGATATTAGCCCTTTGTCAGATGAGTAGGTTGCAAAAATTTTCTCCCATTCTGTAGGTTGCCTGTTCACTCTGATGGTGGTTTCTTTTGCTGTGCAGAAGCTCTTTAGTTTAATTAGATTCCATTTATCAATTTTGGCTTTTGTTGCCATTGCTTTTGGTGTTTTAGACATGAAGTCCTTGCCCATGCCTATGTCCTGAATGGTATTGCCTAGGTTTTGTTCTAGGGTTTTTCTGGTTTTAGGTCTAACATTGAAGTCTTTAATCCATCTTGAATTAATTTTTGTATAAGGTGTAAGGAGGGGATCCAGTTTCAGCTTTCTACATATGGCTAGCCAGTTTTCCCAGCACCATTTATTAAATAGAGAATCCTTTCCCCATTGCTTGTTTTTGTCAGGTTTGTCAAAGATCAGATACTGGTAGATATGTGGCATTATTTCTGAGGCCTCTGTTCTGTTCCATTGGTCTATATCTGTTTTGGTACCAGTACCATGCTATTTTGGTTACTGTAGCCTTGTAGTATAGTTTGAAGTCAGGTAGTGTGATGCCTCCAGCTTTGTTCTTTTGGCTTAGGATTGACTTGGCAATGCAGGCTCTTTTTTGGTTCCATATGAACTTTAAAGTAGTTTTTTCCAACTCTGTGAAGAAAGTCATTGGTAGCTTGATGGGGATGGCATTGAATCTATAAATTACCTTGGGCAGTATGGCCATTTTCACGATATTGATTCTTCCTACCCATGAGCATGGAATGTTCTTCCATTTGTTTGTATCCTCTTTTATTTCATTGAGCAGTGGTTTGTAGTTCTCCTTGAAGAGGTCCTTCACATCCCTTGTAAGTTGGATTCCTAGGTTTTTATTCTCTTTGAAGCAATTGTGAATGGGAGTTCACTCATGATTTGGCTCTCTGTCTGTTATCGGTGTATAAGAATGCTTGTGATTTTTGCACATTGATTTTTTATCCTCAGACTTTGCTGAAGTTGCCTATCAGCTTAAGGAGATTTTGGGCTGAGACGATGGGGTTTTCTAGATATACAATCATATCATCTGCAAAGAGGGACAATTTGACTTCCTCTTTTCCTAATTGAATGCCTTGGAAAAGGCATTTTTGAAATCATGATAAGGACACTTAACATAAAATCTACCTTCTTAGCATTGAAAGAAAATTTTTTAAAACTTTTAATATCAAAAATTTAATATATTGTATATTCTACTTGGCAAATGTTTAAAAATAGCTCTAAGTTCCCGTGTGTGTGTGTATATATATATATATATAATGTATATGATTTATATTATGTGTATTATATATATGAATTATATATATAAATATAAGAAACTGAATTGTAAATGTTGCAGACCAATAAACTTTATTTTGATCTCCAGTGACAAATATAGTACCACATTAAGTACCACAATATGGTGTCTCAGTAAGGATCACACGTTTTCATAAGGCTGTTTATGAACAATAAGAGACAATTAATGAATGATTAAAAAATACTCAGGTTTTTTTCATTTTGAGGAAAGAATTTTCTATTTTAACATTGACTTTGATTGTGATCTGATCAATGTTTTTGTAAAAGCTTTGGATACAGATGGTAGGTGGATTCAATATTATACATGGTGGTTAGTAGACAAATAATCCAAAAATTTCAACATACAACAATAATGGATAATTTAGAGAAAACTGTGGGATAGTTCAAATAGGATAAACTTTAATAAAATACTTTCCAAGATAAAGGCACATTAAAATTTGAGAGATGTGTGTTTTTCTTTTTTTTTAAGATTGATTAAATCTAATCAATACATGCTAAGAGCATCCAATGACAAAGAAATCAGTTACAAAAAGACCCTATAGTAATATTTCAATTGATGAGTAATATTTTCACTTTACTCTCTTCATCAGACCGAAACTGAATGAATCATTTCAGAATTAAATACATTAAGAAAATTGTAGACAAATGGATGTGTTAGCAAACAAAAGCAATTGTCATTCATTCCAATTACTAGAAAGCTCAGGGTGACCTATATTTTCAAATATTAAAAATGTTTGTCTTTTAAAAATAAATTTAAATTTATCTATGTTCCTAGAATCAATCTAGTAATAATGGTTATTAGTTATATTCAGATAGTTGTTTTCTCAGCATAAACAATAATTTTCAAAACCTGTTCCTGATGATACAGTAACTACAGACTGATATTAAGAAATATTTATTTATTTATTTTTTAAAGGAAGGGTTTGAATCCCTTACAAAAGTTTTGTGGAGACCTTTTTGAATTCAGTGAAAAAATCTAATTTTGATATTGTAAAATTCTTTTTCTTTTTTTTTCATCTACACTTTCAATTTCCAACTCCTGTGTCTATGCCTTTAATATTCTGACTCATAATTCATGCCATGAGGATGTTTTTCCACAACTCCTCTAGGATAAAAGAAAGCCTACATTAATTTATGTTAGTAATAATAACATTGGACAGTCTGAAACTGCTTGTGGCTTATATAAAAGGGGTTTTCCACTAGAAGTTTAACTCAGGCAGGGCGAGGTGGCTCATGCCTGCAATCCCAACACTTTGGGAGGCCAAGGCAGGCAGATCACTAGAGCACATGAGTTCAAGACCAGCCTGGGCAACATGGTGAGACCCTGTCTCTACAAAAAATACAAAAATTAATTTATCTATTATTTTCTATTTTATTACTTTCAATTATTAAATATTTTCTTTATTATTTTCTGGCTTCTACTGACATGGATTTATTTTTCTTTTTTTCCCTAGCTTTTTAAAATTTTCTATCCAGACCACAAAAAATTTTCTCCATATCAGCAATAAGACTGTTTTGCTATCTTATTTATGTGTTTACTGGAGTAGCGCATTTTAATTTTTTTCAATAACTTTTCTTTACATTCACAACTTGGCTAACTGGTGCAAAAGCCCTAGCTTCTGGCCTGTCTTGGCTTTTGATAGGCCTTCTTCACTAAGCTTAATCATTTCTAGCTTTTGATTTAAATAAGAGACATGTGACTCTTCCTTTCACTTGAATACTTAAAGGCCATTGTAGGATTATTAATTGGTCTCATTTCAATATTGTTGTGTCTTAGAAAATAGAGAGGCCTGAAGAGAGGGAGAGATGGTGGAACAGCCAGTGGGTGGAGCAATCAAAACATACATCATTTATCAATTAAGTTCACTGACTTACATGGGCAGTTTGTGGTTCCCTAAAACAATTACAATAGTAACATCAAAGATCACTGATCACACGTCACCATAACTTTCACCCGCGTCCGTGTGAAGAGATCACCAAACAGGCTTTGTGTGAGCAATAAAGCTTTTTAATCACCTGGGTGCAGGCGGGCTGAGTCCGAAAAGAGAGTCAGCTAAGGGAGATAGGGGTGGGGCCATATTATAAGATTTGGGTAGGTAAAGGAAAATTAGTCAAAGGGGGGTTGTTCTCTAGCGGGCAGGAGTGGGGGTCACAAGGTGCTCAGTGGGGGAGGTTTTTTGAGCCAGGATGAGCCAGGAAAAGGAATTTCACAAGGTAATGTCATCAGTTAAGGCAAGGACCGGCCATTTTCACTTCTTTTGTGGTGGAATGTCATCAGTTAAGGCAGGAACAGGCCATTTTCACTTATTTTGTGATTCTTCAGTTACTTCAGGCCATCTGGGCATATACATGCAGGTCACAGGGGATGCGATGGCTTAGCTTGGGCTCAGAGGCCTGACAATAACGATACAATAATAACGAAAAAGTTTGAAATATTGTGAGAATTACCAAAACGTCACATAGAGATATGAAGGGAGCACATGCCGTTGGAAAAATGATACTGATAGATTTGCTCATTGCAAGGTTGCCACAAACCTTCAGGTGCAATAAAGTGAAGCACAATAAAATGAGACAGGCCTATATTTGGTCGAACATCATTCTGGGTGTGTTTGGAGAGGTGGCTCCTCTCTGCAGGCAGGTCCCCATTGACTTCCCAGCTCTCAGCAGAGAGGATAGCTACTCTCTGCAGCTGGTCATCTCGTCATCTCTCAGTTGTCCTCTACCATGCTATTGCTGATCCTGGGGCTTTTATGGACCTCAGAGGGGAGGAAGTGCATATGGAGTGGTCCATCCGTGGCCATGGGTGGGCAGAAAAAGGCACCACAAGACCCCACTCCAGTCCACCGGTGTGGCAGCCTGACCCCCAGCCTTCAGGCTCTTCCTGGCCTGAGGATGGGGCCTTACAGGGACCCACTCCCTTCCACCTAGGAGCCCGTCTGCCTCCTGACGCCTTTCATGGTGCCAAGGGGCACCTGCAGGCCAACGCTTTGCCCGCATCCACTCTTGTCTGGCCCAACATCCAGAGGGGGCTGAGGTGGCAGGGCTCGATCATGCATATACCTGGCAGGGTTGTGACAGTGCCTGGGCTCAGCTCCACCTACTCCTAGATTGGATCAGTTGCAGAGAGTGGGAAGAGACCAGGCAGTAGGAGCAGGCACCTCTGAGCCTGCAATGGCAAAGGGGGCCTTCCCTGGCTCTCAAGAGCACACGGAGGCCCACATCTACTGTCTCCATTTGGACAGCTGCAGCTGTGCCTGGGGGTGTGGGGCTCCTGCCTGCTCCCAGCCCTCAAGAGCACATGGAGGCCCAAGTCTACAACCCTGACGTGGGTGGCTGCAGCCGCGCCCAGGGTGGGCAGAGCTCCTGCCTGCTCCCAGCACACAGGAGCCCCGGGTATACTGCACCGACTTTGGCGGCTGCAGCTGTGCCTAGTCGGGCAGGGGCTTTCAGGGAGGCCCTGGATAGAGCAGAACGCAGGCCCTGGGTCTGGCTGTCGGGAGTGGCAGGCTCCGAGGTCACCCTAACGCCTCGGGTGACCTGTATAGAGCAGACCCCAGGGGACTGGCCCTGGGAGGCCTGCACAGAGCCTCCTCCCAAGGCCCAGGAACTCCAGCATGCCAACTGCAGATCATGGGACTTCTCAATGTTTAGTGTACTATGAATTACATTCAGTGCTTTTAGGTATTATGTATATTTAAACGTTGTGGTTTTCATCTCTAGAAGTTTGATTTTTTAAAGTATCTTCCTCGTCTCTAAATTTTTGAACATATGGTAAACAGTATAATTGTTTTAATGCCATAACTTGAATCATTCTAACATATGTGTCAGTTCTGAGTCAGGTTTGATTTATTGATTTTTCTCCTTACATCATATTTTCCTGCTTTTTTTCATGCTTAGTAAATTTTCATTGGAAAATTTTCTTTTACTGGGTATATCTGTAATCCTATAAATACCCTTGAGTTTATTCTGGAGTGTTACTAAGTTACTTGGATACAGTTTGATACTTTAGTCACTTGTTTTGAAGATTTGTTAGGTAAAACCAGAACAGTGTTTAGTTTAGAGCTAATTATTGAAATTCTTGAAGCAAGACACTTTTGATTGCTAAACTCAATGCCTCAGGAATTCTTAGGTTTTCATTCTGGCACATAAATAGCTTGAGAACCCACAAAATTCCCAGCCTTTGCATAAGCATTGGGCACTATTTACCTTAATCCATTAAGTGGTTCTTTCCTCATTCTTGGATAGCTTCCTCACACACATGCAAATCAGCGCTCAGCTAAACTCAAGCAGGGCCCTCTCTCTGTGTATTAGTCCATTTTCATACTGCTATAAGGAAATACCCAAGACTGGGTAATTTGTAAAGAAAAGAGGTTTAATTGACTCACAGTTCCACATGGCTGGGGAGGCCTCAAGAAACTTACAATCATGGTGGAAGGTGAAGAGGAAGCACTGACCTTCTTCACATGGTGGCAGGAGAGAGAAGTGCAAGCAGGGGAAATGCCAGAGGCTTGTAAAACCATCAGATCTCATGAAAAGTAACTCACTGTCACGAGACCAGAATAGGAGAAACCACCCCCACGATCCAGTCACCTCCCTCCCTCAACATATGGGGATTACAATCGAGATGAGATTTGGATGGGGACACAGAGCCAAATCACATCATTCTGCAAGTCGTGAAAGATTTTTCTATGTTTAGCATTATCTTTTCTGACACTTTTTATGACAAATTCTGCCTTAGTCTGGATGCTCAGTTCTGCCTTTTTTATTTCTCAGTTTTTTTCAAAAGTTGTATTCCTTGATGTAAAGGTAAATGTCTAATTTTATTTCAGTGACTTGTACATAGTTGCCATCAATAAATATTTACCAAATAAAGGAATGCATTTTCATCATAAGATAAACCTCATCATAGCAACAGCTCATTTAAATGTTGCTGTTTATGTTGTTTTATAAGATATAACAAATAAATATTTTTATTTAATAATTTACTAATATTATTTTTAAATCATGTTGGGTAGTTAATCCAAACCAACAATATATAACTGTGATGAGAGTCAGAAAATTTCTATTATTTCTAAAAGTGTTGGGAATTATCCACTTCTCCTAGAATAAATATGATAGTAGACTTTGTTCTGATATAAATATTTTTACCTTATTGAATATGTTTTCCTACTGCTCCTATAGCACAGGGCCTATTTCTATTTAATGGCTTGCCAATTATTTGCATAATTGATGTAATATTTAGTAACTTTTAATATTTAATAACTTTACTAATGTTTTGGTAATACTTTCAGGAATACTTAAAATATTTCCTTATTAAACTTGTTCAACATTGCCTTATTTTGATTTGCTTGCTTGATAGTACAGGTACTATAATTTATTTAATGATATATTTAAATATATAGCCTTCCAAAATCTCAGGCAGCATACATGCAGAAATATTATACCTTTATAAAGTCAAAAATTTAAAACTGTTTAAAGATAAAATTTTTCTCTGGCATATCTGTAATAATGAAAGTGAATCAAAATATATTTCTAGGGCTTGGGGGACATATCTTGAGCAGCCACCCACATCAGCAAAACATTTCTCCAAGCACCCATATTTTAATTTAAAAATACATGTGATTTTCTCAACATAATATATCCATGTTTATTCCAATGCAACACAGTAGTTTCAATGTTCAATTATTTTGAGTTCTATTTATACTTCTAAGTTAAACAAACAAACTCAAGAATATGTTAACATTTTTATTAAATGACCACAAAAACCCCCAACATTCAACCTCTGAGAAATATACTGCTTTAATAGAATAAATAAATACAATAAGCGTTTTTTTCATAATACATATTAGGATGTATTTTATTTCATGCCAATAGCAGACTCCATGTATAAATGAACCATGGGTTGGGAAAAATACTGTGATCAAAAAAATGCATAATGTCTAGGATCCTTTTCCAGATTATACTAGAATTAAGGAAATGAACTCACTTTCTCTTATATAGCCACAGGCCTTCAAAAGTGTTCCCAAAAACCTTTTATCTGTGTTCCAGCTTCTCATCTGTCTCACCACCGGGAGCCACAGAAAGTGGACATGCTCACAGTACAGGAAATAGAGCTTTGCACTGTTCTTTTAATGATGTGGATTTTTTGGTGAACTCACTCTATTTTGTCTTGGTTTCTTCGGCTCATAGGTTTGTGAGGCAGTTTATAGCAAAAGGCTATAAAAGTCTTTTTTTTCTAAATAAAGATAATAGATCAACCAAAGTTTTGAATTCCACATGGTATTCTCAAACCCCCACACTGAAATAGGACTAAATTACCCAGTCAAGTGGTGAAGAAAGCTGCCTTGTCAAAACATGTAAATTCCCACTGAGTTTGTGTCCCTAAATTAGAATTTTTTCCACCTCAGGTTTTTCCCCTGCTGATCACTATCCAAAGCATCTCACTGTTCATCTTTCCCCCCAGAGTAAGTTCTATTTGCATTGACCTAGGCCTCATTGTTGTGTACCACAAGAGCATAAGATTGACTAAGGCAAAACATTTATGGCAAAAAAAATTTGTATTTAAAAGAATTCATGGCAAAAAAAATATATTTAAAATCATCACCTCTAAATTTGTTCATTAATTTCTCTTTCCATAATTCCATCTTAATGTTTTTGAACTAATTGTCTCTTGATTTTACTTGCCTGTGAGACCTTACAAAAGCATTTGAGGGTGATATAATTGGACATCGAATGTTAGAAGATGGCTAAATGGTGGCAATACATGTTGATCAAAATTACCTCACGATAGTACTGGCATGTTTTTCTAAGAGTTGGGATCATTTCTAATTTAATTGGGATTCATTTATAAACAATTTATGCTAAATATATTTCCTAAACTTTCTCAGTATCTTTTTCTCTAGCTATTATACCATTTTCCCTTACTTTAACTAGATTAGCTAGTCATTAGGAATAGGGAGAAAAAAGACTGACTTGATGGAATCCAATACTGTAAAGCAGATAGTCTCGTAAGTGAAAAAATGCTATGTAGATTTTACCAAGAGTTAATTGTTTTTTTCTTAGTCTTGTTCCACTTGTAAACTTTGTGTCACTTGATACTGTTCCCTCATCAATTCCATGTCCAACATCTTTTTGAAAGTCAAACACATCTATCCTCGCTTCTTAGGACTTCTTTTCAGATATCATCTTGTCTTAATCCAAAACTCTTTAGTCAGTGACCTTCTCAGGGCAGCTTTCACATCCTTGTTTCTCAATGTGTAGATGAATGGGTTGAGGGTGGGTGTGACAATGCCATAAAAGAGAGCCATGATCTTCCCCCGGTCATGAGAATAGCTAGAGGGAGGCTGGACATACATACTGATGGCTGTGAAGTAGAAGAGGGAGACCACCAGCAAATGTGAGGCACAGGTATTGAAAGCCTTCCAGCGACTTTCAGCAGAGCAGATTCTCATTACTGCCTGAGCAATGAACACATAAGTGCCCAGGATGAGGGTGAGTGGCATCAGGAGAAGCAAAGCGCCTAGTACATTGAGCTCCATTTCATTCACACGAATATCAATACAGGCTAGTTTCAAAAGGGCTGGAACTTCACAGAAGAAATGGTCCAACACCCTCTGTCCACATCTTGGGGCCACCACTGTGAGAGTGGACTGGACAAGGGAGTTAGCAAAGCCACTGATCCAAGTGCCAGCAGCCATGTGGATACAGCGTCTATGGTTCATGATGACTGGGTAGTGAAGGGGCTTGCATATGGCAGCGTAACGGTCAAAGGCCATGATGGCTAGAAGTATGCATTCAGTAGAACCCAGGGCCAAAAATATATAGAGTTGGGCAACACAACCCCCATAGCTAATGGTCTTTTCTGGTCCCCGGAGGTTGACCAGCATCTGTGGGACAGTGCTGGTGGTATAGCAGAGGTCCAGAAAGGATAGATTAGAGACAAAAAAGTACATGGGACTGTCAAGCTGGGGATCCAGATGGGAAACTAGGATAATGGAGATATTTCCAAATAGGGAAAAGATGTAGGCCACCAGAAAGATTACAGAGGGGTGTCTCTAGCCAGGGACGGTCAGAAAATCCCAATAGGATAAAATCATCTAGCGAGCTTTGATTGTTGATCCACATGTTAGCACTGGGAGGTGAAATTCCAGCTGAGACCTCTAAATACCCACAGTTAGGGATAGACATCAACAGTAGGAGGAAGCCACTGAGAATTAGAGATCAGAGATGCCAAGATGAAATTTTCATTTTTGCTCTAATCGGCATCTGTATCTTCATTACAGTAAAATATCATTTGCATCTACATCCTGATTATGATGAAATGTGGAGACAACATCATCAATGTAATATTGAAAGATTACTGAGAACAGAATAAATACCACACCAGCAACATAGTTGGGAATTTTGCTTATTTAATATATGTCTTCTGGTTAGCTATTCACTCCATTTGGGTTTTCATATCTTCTCTTCTAAAAAGTTTTAGTATACTACCATCAACTCTACATGCATGGATATGTAATGGTGGCAACAGAGTGTAGATTAAAATAGAAGGAAAAGGCAGAACTTCCCAAAAACAGGTCAAACGAAGGCCGGCATGAAGACTACAGGAGGATGTGCAGCCAGGGAGAACGAAGACATCTTGGCATGTTCATCTGCTTGGTACAGATCCTGGTCAGAAAACACCATAAGAACTGGAGCACTTTATAAAGTCTGCATGATAAAAGGATGGAGTGCCATGACTCGTTTTACCCCTTCCAAGCTTTAATGCTAGTCCTACTCAGAACATTTAAAAATAGGGAGAAAAAAGCCAAAAAAACAAACAAAATTACACACACAAAAAAACAATCAGTCCTTAGAAATTTGTTTGCTGTGAAAATGCAACTTTAAAAATATCTGGATACATTTGATGAAATTTTAATCTCTGGAAGAAATCACCAGAAAGAGTTTTAAATATGTGAATCCTTGAAATTTGAGGATGTATATGAATTTGTAATCTCTCAGCATCATTCTCAGCACATATAAACTTAATCATTTTCCCTCTCTCTCCCTTCTTTATTCTCATATTTTCTAATTACTGATACTATTTTTTCCACCAAAATTGCCTCTATCCTGCTCTTTGCCCATCCAAATTACACAATTCCTTTATCATATAATTTCTAAAGAATAACTCCAATTGCAAATTTTTCCATTCCCTACAATCCCAAATTTCTTTTTTTGTTTGACTCTTATCTTTTAGTAAATTTGTCTTGTGTTTTTCTCTAGTTGTTTTATAAAAGACATTTATAAAAGACTGGGATTTCCTCCAAATCCCAGTCATTCCATTCATTAGCTGTGTGACTTTGGAGATGTCATTTAATCTTTGTGTGCTTCAATTTTCTCATCTTTCAAATAAGCATAATTATACCCATCTCATAGAACTAGTGTACAAATTAAGGAATAGAGTGTACATTGCAAACATAGCTCAGTTCTTGTCATATACTAATAATTCAATGACTATTAACAATTATTATATACTTACCTAATTATGAATCCCCAGATGTATTACAGTTGTTTTATTTTTATGCATTTATGCAGTTTATAATGATATTTGTAACAATAAACAAATATTTATTAGAGGATAGTAAACAAAATGTGACTGCTCTGAAATCAGCTCAGGATCCTCTATTTACTTTTCTGATCCTCTCAGTTGCCCTATGTCATATTCTTCTTGTGATCCTGACTTAGTAGGGTTCATGTACTTAGTTGGCCAGCTCTATATTTCAAATCGTGTCATCTGAGTTACGGTATCCGTGTGAATGAAATGAGTGACAGTGAGAAATGATAGGGATAAAAACTTGCTTCACAGCTAAACATAAGAATCACTAAATTCAAAACTGATTTTAGTATCCATCCATTAACACTTCTAATTTCTTCATTTGCTTATAGAATAACAATTCTTTTGGTATGCAGAGGTCATCATTCTCTTTGAATTATAATTGCATACATGTCACGTAAGATGTCAGCTGGAGTAATTTCTTCTTCACCATTGTCTCTCAAATCTATCTATTAAATCTGTATCTATCTAAAAACATTAAGGCAGACATACAGAAAATAGTTCAGTGTCCCATGATCTCTAGCTTTCAAACTGGTATTCTTACTTACAATTGTTCTCTCATCTTCAAAACAACCTAGCTGGTTTGGAGAACAGTCTTTCCATCGTTAAAATGTGGCCATGTACATTTCAATTCAAAATTATTCAGTGGCTCTCCATATTCTGACACATTATATTAAAATGCAACCTTGGACTCAGGCCTCATATAACAATCGCTTGAACCATGCAGACATATTCACTGATCCAACCAAACTTGTGACCTTCCCCCTTGACCCCTTGTATTTATGCTGATGTGAAATGCCATTGTTGTTATGTATCCTGTAAGGATCATCTCAAATATAAAAATGTCCTTAAGTATTTCCTGCTCTCCTTTCTTACTGGTCGTCCAGAGCATTTTATTTGTAATTTCTTGATGATATACTCATTTATAAATATGACATATATACATGATATATATATATATACATGATATATATATATCATGTATATATGATTTGATAATTTTTTCATGATATACATATATACTCATATATAGATATATATCTATATATGGGAGAGATAGAGATTTTTTTCTGTCTTTTTTGTACTCGATATGTTTTCCTGACTATATCGATTACATACTCTTTGAAAAGAGTCAGCACGTGACTTTTAGACATAAGAGTATATGTTAAATATAATAGATATTTACTACATGTTAATCAATTTGAATTTAGTTGAAACCAGCAATCATGAAGCTTTTTCCTTTGGTGCTCTGATATGTTATTCCTAGATTACATTAGCATTTTGATATCATTATTTTTCACCTATGACCTCAATCAGTTTCACTGATATTTCATCACAACCAAACCCATATACATCATTTACTAATTCAGAGCCCAAGAGGTCAAAGCAGAGTTAAAATATGCCCCATTGGCAGTTTTAGGGTTTTATTGCTAATTCTCAAATTGATGTAACTAATTAACCAATAAATACATTTATTTTACTTACTAAAAATGCATGGACTTTAAATATGTCACTTCATACCCTTGTGACCTGGTTTGTTCAACCAGATCAAGAGAATTAAAATACTTGCATATAAACTCCATAGTACTTTAATGACAATTAAATGTATATTTCCTTTGTAAATTAAAAAAAAACTTATAAAAGACCACATATAATACAAAAGCAGTAGCTGCAATATTAGTAGGACTACTCACATGGTAAAATTACATAGAAGTGATTCTAGAAACTTCTGGGACGTCTCCTTTTTTAAACCTTGTCATTTTGTATCTCTATAATGCCACTCTTCATTCAAACTGGTGCTATCCAATTCCTTTCTTCTCCCATTTCTCACCTGGGACAGTGAGTCTTTAGGAATAGAGCCTTAAAAATATGATTACGGCCGGGCGGGGTGGCTCACGCCTGCAATCCCAGCACTTTGGGAGGCCGAGGCGGGCGGATCATGAGGTCAGGAGATCGAGACCATCCTGGCGAACAAGGTGAAACCCCGTCTCTACTCAAAATAAAAAAAAAAATTAGCCGGGTGTGGTGGCAGCCACCTGTAGTCCCAGCTACTCGGGAGGCTGAGGCAGGAGAATGGCGTGAACCCGGAGGGGGCGGAGCTTGCCATGAGCCGAGATCGCACCACTGCACTCGAGCCTGGGAGACAGTGAGACTCCGTCTCAAAAAAAAAAAATAATATATATATATATATAATATATATATATATATATATATGATTACATTTTGTATTGTATCCCCAAAGAAATGGAACACATATCTCTGCCAGTTGATTAGAAGATTATTATATGAATATATTTTGATTCAATACTGAGAAACAATTTTATCTTTACATATATATTTCTGAATCAAATTTTGCCTTATCTATTATGGTCAAAGGAAGACTTCTTCTGTGTTGTAGGATTTCTTATAGAAGAATACTTCTTAATCAGTATTCAAGTAATTCCTTGTCCAATTAAAATCCTAAAAAGACAATTTTGGAATGCTACCTTCATTCTGTCTGGATTGTTTTCTTGCTAGAGTCTCTTTCAGAATCTCATTTAGTTAGAACTCAGATAATGTTCTAAATCTGAAGAAAGCTGTGTTTCTTTTCCTACATTTCAAAATTAGTAATAACATTTTCACAATCTTTATATTTTTCTACTGCTTCTCTTCCAGTAGGCACAGCTATTTGTTTCTATTAAGTTCTATTAAGTACTATTAAGTTTCTGGGGTAAGTTTGGAAAGTTATGAATAAAATTAATTATATACTTTACCCGAGGAAAACAGTAAAGTTATTAAAGAAGTATATGTAGCCTGTTCCCCTGGTTTTCCATATACTTCATTTGTGCTTAAATATTGAAAATTTATAGGAAATAGAGGTAAAATGAGTAACAAGGAAATAATAGCAGCAGATAAACTCAGAAAGTAAAGAGAGAAGAAAAATGGAAAGAAAAAAATAAGACAGAAAAAAGAAGTACATAAAGATGGTAAATTTTTGTCTGATACATAGTAATAGTCACATAAGTAGCTGTCAAATATATGAATATAAAAAGAAATGGAAGAAAAATAGAAAATAAAAATGAAAGATCTAAGACTAAATTCAGTAATTCAGTTTAAATGTCTAGAAAGGATGCAGGGAGTTCTTGCCTTTCTGACTGTATAAGAATAATACGGAATTCGCCTAAATCAAAAGTTAAAAACAGGCTGATAATCCCCTTGAGGGTGAAAAACTGGAGCTGGGAGACAGAAGAATCTATAGATCTCTGGCAAATGGAGTGCACAAAAAAACGAAGGGTGAGCAGAGTAGAAGTATCTGACCACATGGTTTAAGAACACATGAAGCCCATTATTTTAAACGTTTACATCCTAATACACTCTTCATTAACTTTCTAAGCATGGCTCTAATATAATATGTTAATAAACAAAACTGAAACAATATTTAGATTTTCATTCTACCTGACTTATTTTATATACTTCCTCTTCATGTTACTTTGTAAGAACTTTTGCTATAGTTTTAATTCCATGCTATCAGATTCCCTTGTTCTAAATTGTCATAGATTTAAACAACTTTTTGTTGTTGTTTGTTTTTGTTTTTGTTTCTGTTCTGCCACCCAGGCTGGAGTGCAGTGATGTGATCTCAGCTCACTGCAACCTCCGCTTCCCAGGTTCACACGATTCTCCTGTCTCAGCCTCCAGAGCAGCTGGAATTACAGGTGTGCACCACCACACCCAGCTAATGGATTTAAACAACCTTTGATTATCTGAGTGGTAGGCCTTTCAGAGCTAAATTTTCTCAAAAATCAACATCTTAATAGCTACAATCTTTGTAATGGAAATAGCAGTTTCAGTCTAGAAAAGTGGTTAAAAAAAGGTACACCTAAAAATACTTAAATGAAAATATAAAGTTTCAAAGGTAAATAACATGATTGGTAACACATATTTTTCCATCAGTCTCCTAATAATAGAATAGTGTTTAACAAAGATTGGCAAACACCAGATAGTTCATATCAAATTTTCTATCCATAAACTTAAATTTTAAGTATATAATTGCTTTCATACAAGTATGTTTGTTTTCTTCTTATAATATGCCTCTAAAGAACGATTTTTTTATATAACAGAAGAGAGGAAACGCAGGCACCAAGAGGTTGTAGGACTTGCTCAAGTTTATAGATCTAGTAAATTCAGAAGAAAAGATTTGAATAATACAATATTTTGAATCCTACATCAGTATACTTTTCATAAGCTTATTGTTCTCTCAAACAAAAATGTATGTGGCTTGTAGAATAAACCTTTTTACATTTTAAAAAATTTTTATTTTATAGTTCTACTCCTGAGTGCTCCCTTCAGCCTACTCCACGAAGTGATGACAACTTTAATTAATATTCCCTCTCCAAATCCCTTCAACATTTACCTGATGCTGGGTTGTAATCCATCAGTTTGTCTGGAATGTGACATGGAGATACGGAGTCCTGGAAGACTGACCTGGGGCCCAAACATGATCCTCAAACCAGTTTGTTGTTTGAATTTCTTCTCAGCCCTCTTTAACATCAACCCAGCTCTCTCTGACCTACTGAAGGGTCAACCTCAAGAAACCAACTCCAACTGATGGCCATCCATAGAATACATAGCTCTTCAGGGAGCTTTCATGCCATTACTGCCTCACTCTCATACTTCCGTTTAAGCCTCCGAGATTCAAAATAATTAGCCTCTACTGCTGCCAACATGTCCAGGGAAAAATAACCAGAGGGACTAGAAAATGAGTATGCCACAGAAGAAATCAAGAAAATGTTTCTAACAAAATACAAACTTTGGGCATGTAAGTTTGGAGAGTCATCTAAGAAGAAAGAAAATTAATTCAAGCAAGACTAAATCTCATGGTTGCCAAGATGATTTTTTTCATTATACTTTAAGTTCTGGGATACATGTGCAGAACGTGCAGGTTTGTTACATAGGTACACACATGCCATGGTGGTTTGCTGCACCCATCAACCCGTCATCTACATTAGGTGTTTCTCCTAATGCACCCCACCCTCTAACAGGCCCCAATGTATGATGTTCCCCTCACTGTGTCCATGTGTTCTCATTGTTCAACTCCCATTTATGAGTGAGAATAAGGAGTGTTTGGTTTGCTGTTCCTGTGTTAGTTAATGAGAATCATGGCTTCCAGCATAATCCATGTCCCTGCAAAGAACATAAACTCATTCTTTTTTATGGCAGCATAGTATCCCATGGTGTATATGTGCCACATTTTCCTTATCCAGTCTATCACTGATGGGCATTTGGGTTCCAAGTCTTTGCTATTGTAAATAGTGCTGCAATAAACATATATGTGCGTGTGTCTTTATAGTGGAATGTTTTATAATCCTTTGGGTATATATCCAGTAATGGGATTTCTAGGTCAAATGGTATTTCTGGTTCTAGATCCTTCAGAAATCACCACACTGTCTTCCACAATGGTTGAACTAATTTACATACCCACCAACAGTGTAAAAGCATTCCTATTTCTCCACATCCTCTCCAGCCTCTCTTGTTTCCTGACTTTTTAATGATCACCATTCTAACTGGCATGAGATGGTATCTCATTGTAGTTTTGATTTGCATTTCTCTAATGACCAATGATGATGAGCTTCATTTCATATGTTTGTTGACCACATAAATGTCTTCATGCCTTCTTTTGAGAGGTGTCTGTTCATATTCTTCACCCACTTTTTGATGGGGTTGTTTTTTTTCTTGTAAATTTGTTTAAGTTATTTGTAGATTCTGGATATTAGTCCTTTGTCAGATGGATAGATTGCAAAAATTTTCTTCCATTCCGTAGGTTAACTGTTCACTCTGATGATAGTTTCTTTTGTTGTGCAGAAGCTCTTTAGTTTAATTAGATCCTATTTGTCTATTTTGGCTTTTGTTGCCATTGCTTTTGGTGTTTTAGTCATGATGTCTTTGACCATGCCTATGTCATGAATGGTATTGTCTATGTTATCTTCTAGAGTTTTTATGATATTGGGTCTTACATTTAAATCTTAATCCATCTTGAGTTAATTTTTTTATAAGGTGTAAGGAAGGGGTCCAGTTTCCGTTTTCTGCATATGGCTAGCCAGTTTTCCCAAAACCATTTATTAAATATGAAATCCCTTCCCCATTGCTTGTTTTTGTCAGGTTTGTCAAAGATCTGATGGTTGTAGATGTGTGGCATTATTTCTGAGGCCTCTGTTCTGTTCTATTGGTCTATATATCTGTTTTGGTATCAGTACCATGCTGTTTTGGTTACTGTATCCTTGTAGTATAGTTTGAAGTCAGGTAACATGATGCCTCCAGCTTTGTTATTTTTGCTTATGATTGTCTTGGCTATACGGGCTCTTTTTTGGTTTCATATGAAATTTAAAGTAGTTTTTTTCTAATTCTGTGAAGAAAGTCAATAGTAACTTGATGGGGATAGCATTGAATCTCTAAATTACTTCAGGCAGTATGTCCATTTTCACGATATTGATTATTCCCATCCATGAGCATGGAATGTTTTTTCATTTGTTTGTGTCCTCTCTTATTTCCTTGAGCCGTGGTTTGGAGTTCTTCTTGAAGAGGTCCTTCACATTCCTTGTAAGTTGTATTCCTAGGTATTTTATTCTCTTTGTAACAATTGTGAATGGGAGTTTACTCATGATTTGGCTGTTTGTCTATTATTGGTGTATAGGAATGCTTGTGATTTTTGCAAATTGATTTTGTATCCTAAGACTTTGCTGAAGTTGCTTTTCAGCTTAAGGAGATTTAGGTCTGAGACGATGGGGTTTTCTAAATATACAATCATGTCATCTGCAAACAGAGACAATTTGACTTCCTGCCTTCCCATTTGAATACACTTTATTTCTTTCTCTTGCCTGATTGCCCTGACCAGAACTTCCAATACTATGTTGAATAGGAGTGGTGAGAGAGGGCATTCTTGTCTTGTGCTGGTTTTCAAAGAGACTGCTTCCAGCTTTTGCCCATTCGGTATGATATTAGCTTTGGGTTTGTCATAAATAGCTCTTATTATTTTGAGACACGTTCCATCAATACCTAGTTTATTGAGAGTTTTTAGCATGAAGAGGTGTTGAATTTTATTGAAGGCCTTTAAAATAAACAACCTGACATCACAATTAAAAGAACTAGAGAAGAAAGATCAAACAAATTCAAAAGCTAGCAGAAGACAAGAAATAACAGATCAGAGCAGAGATGAAGGAGATAGAGACACAAGAAACCGTTCAAAAAATCAATGAATCCAGGAGCTGGTTTTTTGAAAAGCTTAACAAAATAGACCACTAACTGGACTAATAAAGAAGAAAACAGAGAAGAATCAAATAGACACGACAAAAAATGATAAGGGGGATATCACCACTGATCTTACAGAAATACAAACTACCATCAGAGGATACTATAAATAACTCTATGCAAATCAACTAGAAAATTTAGAAGAAATGGATAAATTCCTGGACACATACATCCTCCCAAGACTAAACCAGGAAGAAATCTAATCCCTGAATAGACCAATAACAAGTTCTGAAATTCAGGCAGTAATTAATAGCCTACCAACCAAAAAAGAAGCCCAGGATCAGACAGATTCACAGCCGAATTCTACCAGAGGTACAAAGAGGAGCTGGTACTATTCCTTCTGAAACTATTCCAAACAATAGAAAAAGTCGGAATCTTCCCTAACTCATTTTGTGAGGCCAGCATCATCCTGATACCAAAACCTGGCAGAGACACAACAAAAAAAGAAAATTTCAGGCCAATATCCCTGATGACATCGATGTGAAAATCCTCAATAAAATACTGGCAAACCGAATCCAGCAGCACATCAAAAAGCTTATCCACCATAATCAAATCGACTTCATCCCTGGGATGAAAGGCTGGTTCAACATACACAAATCAATAAACGTAATCCGTCACTTAAACAGAGCCAATGTCAAGGTGATTTTTTAAATATGGATTATGAAATAGGTAAATTTTTCCTTCACATGTACTTATTATTCTGATAAAGATATGACAACTTCATGCACTCGTTAAAATAATGTAAGTTTAAAATATGATTTTTTTTTCCTATTTCTTCCTATAGTGTTTCCTCATTCTCACTTAATGTATTGTATAAGATACTTCACAAACATAAGACATATTGATTCATTGGATAACATTGTCACTATATAAATTAGGAAAATACATTTTCATTATTCATATTTAGCTGATGACAATTCCAAAACTGAGAAAATCAAAGTTTCTCAAGATTACAGACAGGTAGACTAGGAACACAAACCAATGCTTCCAAATTTGATCTAGTTTTTCCTCCTCCAAGTTATTGAGCATAACTAATCTAGGCCCCTCAGAGTGAAGGTTGAAATTGTAATTCAACATATATTCTGGCCCACTATCTCCATTATATTAGCCTTTTTTTTCTGTTACAATCTTTCTGGAATAGTAGGAAAAATAATAGACATGAAAATGCTAAGACTGTGTATAAATACTTAATCGTCTTCTTGGACAGATAAGCTTAAATACCAGACTTTGCATTTCTTTATTTTAAAAAGTATACTTATCAAAACCACTAAATTAACTTGCTCTCAAATAAATAATGCGAAGCAAGGTTTTTGAAAGCATTTCATATCAGGCTTCAGAAATGAACCCAAATGTGTATGGAGATTTACTTTATCATGAAGGAGTAATTTCATATCATTACGTAAAGGCAGAACGTTTCAATGGAGTGTGTGTGTGCTAACTGATTTAAAATCAGGAAAAAAATAAATAAATTCCTATCTTTAATTTCAAAACAATAAAAATTTAAATGTAGAAATATTAGGCAAAAGACCTAAGATCACTTAAAGGCCTTAAATTATTGATGTATTTGATACATAAAAGTATTCACTTGACACAAATTTGCACATATTCATTCAGAAGTGGGTGTACAAAGACCTTTGTTGCAGTGTTGTTTGCATTAGCAAAAAGCTACACATCTCATAAATGACTACCAGTCCTGAAGTTGTTAAACACATCTTCATAATGTAATATTTTGCATTTATTAAAAATAGCGAGGCAAGTCTGTAGTTAGAGAATTGATATATTTAAGGAGAAAAAAGTTACAAGATGGTATTTATAAGATGACACAGGATGTTATCTCTCTACTAACCTATCAATATGCATATATAAATAAATGTATCTATTAAAACACATGAACACATACACAACTACCCCACATACACTAATATGTGTAAAGAATATCTTCAGAAAAGTGAAAAATGGCAAATAGTGAGATGGAGTAAGGAGTGGAAGAGGGATGTGTTTGCACCATAAATATCTTTATTGGGTATATTTCTTGTCATATTTTTTACATTTTTTGAATTTGTAACAATAATGAGCACAAAACAACAGCATTATGATGACCTTCCTGGGAAGTTTCCTGAGGAGGGCATGTAGAGCATAATTCCATTATGAAAAAAATGTGCTTAGAGTATGAAATGAAATAAACCAACATCTTACCTAATCAGATTATCTTCAATATTCATCTCTTTATTTTTAAAATTTTATGGTTTTATTTTTTTATTGATATAAATGGTTTCTTTATTTGTAGAATTACACTTAAAATTATTTTGAAGCAGCATGAACTCTCTCTGGATGGTATTAGAATTTCATACCCAAATAAACTTGAACATTACTTTTTTAAAATTTTATTATTATTATACTTTAAGTTTTAGAGTACATGTGCACAACGTGCAGGTTTGTTACATATGTCTACATGTGCCATGTTGGTGTGCTGCACCCATTAACTAATCATTTAGCAATAGGTATATCTCCTAATGCTATCCCTGCCCCCTCACCACACCCCACAACAGTCCCCCGTGTGTGATGTTCCCCTTCCTGTGACCACGTGTTCTCATTGTTCAATTCCCACCTATGAGTGAGAACATGCGGTGTTTGGTTTTTTGTCCTTGTGATAGTTTGCTGAGAATGATGGTTTCCAGCTTCATCCATGACTCTACAAAGGACATGAACTCATCATTTTTTATGGCTGCATAGTATTCCATGGTGTATATGTGCCACATTTTCTTAATCCACTCTATCATTGTTGGACATTTGGGTTGGTTCCAAGTCTTTGCTATTGTGAATAGTGCCGCAATAAACATATGTGTGTGTGTGTCTTTCTAGCAGCATGATTTATAATCCTTTGGGTATATACCCAGCAATGGGATGGCTGGGTCAAATGGTATTTCTAGTTCTAGATCCCTGAGGAATCGCCACACTGACTTCCACAATGGTTAAATTAGTTTACAGTCCCACCAACAGTGTAAAAGTGTTCCTATTTCTCCACATCCTGTCCAGCACCTGTTGTTTCCTGACTTTTTAATGATCACCATTCTAACTGGTGTGAGATGGTATCTCATTGTGGTTTTGATTTGCATTTCTCTGATGGCCAGTGATGATGAGCATTTTTTCATGTGTTTTTTGGCTGCATAAATGTCTTCTTTTGAGAAATGTCTGTTCATATCCTTCACCCACTTTTTGATGGGGTTGTTTGTTTTTTTCTTGTAAATTTGTTGGAGTTCACTGTAGATTCTGGATATTAGCCCTTTGTCAGATGGGTAGGTTGCAAAAATTTTCTCCCATTCTGTAGGTTGCCTATTCACTCTGATGGTAGTTTCTTTTGTTGTGCAGAAGTTCTTTAGTTTAATTAGATCCCATTTGTCAATTTTGGCTTTTGTTGCCATTGCTTTTGGTGTTTTAGACATGAAGTCCTTGCCCATGCCTATGTCCTGAATGGTATTGCCTAGGTTTTATTCTAGGGTTTTTCTGGTTTTAGGTCCAACATTGAAGTCTTTAATCCATCTTGAATTAATTTTTGTATAAGGTGTAAGGAGGGGATCCAGTTTCAGCTTTCTACATATGGCTAGCCAGTTTTCCCAGCACCATTTATTAAATAGAGAATCCTTTCCCCATTGCTTGTTTTTGTCAGGTTTGTCAAAGATCAGATACTGGTAGATATGTGGCATTATTTCTGAGGGCTCTGTTCTGTTCCACTGTTCTATATCTCTGTTTTGGTACCAGTACCATGCTGTTTTGGTTACTGTAGCCTTGTAGTATAGTTTGCAGTCAGGTAGCATGATGCCTCCAGCTTTGTTCATTTGGCTTAGGATTGACTTGGAAATGCAGGCTCTTTTTTGGTTCCATATGAACTTTAAAGTAGTTTTTTCCAACTCTGTGAAGAAAGTCATTGGTAGCTTGATGGGCAAGGCATTGAATCTATAAATTACCTTGGGCAGTATGGCCATTTTCACGATATTGGTTCTTCCTACACATGAGCAGGGAATGTTCTTCCATTTGTTTGTATCCTCTATTATTTCATTGAGCAGTGGTTTGTAGTTCTCCTTGAAGAGGTCCTTCACATCCCTTGTAAGTTGGATTCCTAGGTATTTGATTCTCTTTGAAGCAATTGTGAATGGGAGTTCACTCATGATTTGGCTCTCTGTTTGTCTGTTATTGGTGTATAGGAATGCTTGTGATTTTTGCACACTGATTTTGTATCCTGAGACTTTGCTGAAGTTCCTTATCAGCTTAAGGAGATTTTGGGCTGAGACGATGGGGTTTTCTAGATATACAATCATGTCATCTGCAAACAGGGACAATTTGACTTCCTCTTTTCCTAATTGAATGCCCTTTATTTCCTTCTCCTGCCTGATTGCCCTGGCCAGAACTTCCAACTCTATGTTGAATAGGAATGGTGAGAGAGGGCATCCCTGTCTTTTGCCAGTTTTCAAAGGGAATGCTTCCAGTTTTGTCCATTCAGTATAATATTGGCTGTGGGTTTGTCATAGATAGCTCTTATTATTTTAAGATACGTCCCATCAATACCTAATTTATTGAGAGTTTTTAGCATGAAGTGTTGTTGAATTTTGTCAAAGGCCTTTTCTGCATCTATTGAGATAATCATGTGGTTTTTGTCTTTGGTTCTGTTTATATGCTGGATTACGTTTATTGATTTTCATATGTTGAACCAGTCTTGCATCCCAGGGATGAAGGCCACTTGATCATGGTGGATAAGCTTTTTGATGTGCTGCTGGATTCAGTTTGCCAGTATTTTATTGAGGATTTTTGCATCAATGTTCATCAAGGATATTGGTCTAAAATTCTCTTTTTTGGTTGTGTCTCTGCCAGGCTTTGGTATCAGGATGATGCTGGCCTCATAAAATGAGTTAGGGAGGATTCCCTCTTTTTCTATTGATTGGAATAGTTTCAGAAGGAATGGTAGCAGCTCCTCTTTGTACTTCTGGTAGAATTCGGCTGTGAATCCATCTGGTCCTGGACTTTTTTTGGTTGGTAAGCTGCTAATTATTGCCTCAATTTCAGAGCCTGTTATTGGTCTATTCAGAGATTCAACTTCTTCCTGGTTTAGTCTTGGGAGGGTGTATGTGTCGAGGAATTTATCCATTTCTTCTAGATTTTCTAGTTTATTTGTGTAGAGGTGTTTATAGTATTCTCTGATGGTAGTTTGTATTTCTGTGGGATTGGTGGTGATATCCCCTTTATCATTTTTTATTGCGTCTATTTGATTCTTCTCTCTTTTCTTCTTTATTAGTCTTGCTAGTGGTCTATGAATTTTGTTGATCTTTTCAAAAAACCAGCTTCTGGATTCATTGATTTTTTGAAGGGTTTTTTGTGTCTCTATTTCCTTCAGTTCTGCTCTGATCTTAGTTATTTCTTACCTTCTGCTAGCTTTTGAATGTGTTTGCTCTTGATTCTCTAGATGTTTTAATTGTGATGTTCTGGTGTCAGTTTTAGATCTTTCCTGCTTTCTCTTGTGGGCATTTAGTGCTATAAACTTCCCTCTACACACTGCTTTAAATGTGTCCCAGAGATTCTGGTATGTTGTGTCTTTGTTCTTGTTGGTTTCAAAGAATATCTTTATTTCTGCCTTCATTTCATTATGTACCCAGTAGTCATTCAGGAGCAGGTTGTTCAGTTTCCATGTAGTTGAGTGGTTTTGAGTGAGTTTCTTAATCCTGAGTTGTAGTTTGATGGCACTGTGGTCTGAGAGACAGTTTGTTATAATTTCTGTTCTTTCACATTTGCTGAGGAGAGCTTTATTTCCAGCTATGTGGTCAATTTTGGAATAGGTGTGGTGTGGTGCTAAAAAGAATGTATATTCTGTTGATTTGGGGTGGGGAGTTCTGTAGATGTCTATTAGGTCCGCTTGGTGCAGAGCTGAGTTCAATTCCCAGGTATCCTTGTTAACTTTCTGTCTCGTTGATCTGTCTAATGTTGACAGTGGGGTGTTAAAGTCTCCCATTATCATTGTGTGGGAGTCTAAGTCTCTTTGTAGGTCTCTAAGGACTTGCTTTATGAATCTGGGTGCTCCTGTATTGGGTGCATATATATTTAGGATAGTTAGCTCTTCTCGTTGAATTGATCCCTTTACCATTATGTAATGGCCTTCTTTGTCTCTTTTGATCTTTGTTGGTTTAAAGTCTGGTTTTTCAGAGACTAGGATTGCAACCCCTGCCTTTTTTTGTCTTTCATTTGCTTGGTAGATCTTCCTCCATCGCTTTATTTTGAGCCTATGTGTGTCTCTGCATGTGAGATGGGTTTCCTGAATACAGCATACTGACGGGTCTTGACTCTTTATCCAATTTGCCAGTCTGTGTCTTTTAATTGGCGCATTTAGCCCATTTACATTTAAGGTTAATATTGTTATGTGTGAATTTGATCCTGTCATTATGATGTTAGCTGGTTATTTTGCTTGTTAGTTGATGCAGTTTCTTCCTAGCCTTGAAGGTCTTTACAATTTGGCATGTTTTTTCAGTGGCTGGTACAGGTTGTTCCTTTCCATGTTTAGTGCTTCCTACAGGAGCTCTTTTAGGGCAGGCCTGGTGGTGACAAAATCTCTCAGCATTTGCTTGTCTGTAAAGGATTTTATTTCTCTTTCACTTATGAAGCTTAGCTTGGCTGGATATGAAATTCTGGGTTGAAAATTCTTTACTTTAAGAATGTTGAATATTGGCCCCCACTCTCTTCTGGCTTGTAGAGTTTCTGCCGAGAGATCCACTGTTAGTCTGATGGGCTTCCCTTTGTGGGTAACCTGACCTTTCTCTCTGGCTGCCCTTAACATTTTTTCCTTCATTTCAACTTTGGTGAATCTGACAATCATGTGTCTTGGAGTTGCTCTCCTCGAGGAGTATCTTTGTGGCATTCTCTGTATTTCCTGAATTTGAATGTTGGCCTGCCTTGCTAGATTGGGGAAGTTCTCCTGGATAATACCCTGCAGAGTGTTTTCCAACTTGGTTCCATTATCCCCGTCATTTTCAGGTGCACCAATCAGACATAGATTTGGTCTTTTCACATAGTCCCATATTTCTTGGATGCTTTGTTCGTTTCTTCTTATTCTTTTTTCTCTAAACTTCTCTTCTCGCTTCATTTCATTCATTTCGTCTTCCATAACTGATACCCTTTCTTCCAGTTGATTGCATCGGCTACTGAGGCTTGTGCATTCATCACGTAGTTCTCGTG